>NC_000014.9:72187470-72338985 GCF_000001405.40 Homo sapiens
CAGAGTTGGTGGTGGACTTGAGTGTCTACTTATGCGCAGAGATTTTCAGTCTTTTATTTCCATCTTGACAGTAGGCAGAGAAGCAGGGGACAGGCTTGAAATTTCAGTCAAATATCAATCCAGCATGAAGGAGGACACCCTGATTTTAAACACCCACTAATATTTCCTTGGAAAAAAAAAGAGCCTAACACATCTCTGGCTCCAGCTCTTCTCTCCTCCCCTCCCTTCCCTCAGCCCCCAATTCTCTTTTCTTTTCCTGTCTTCAGAATATGTGAAATGGGGGAAATCATAAAACAGTCAATCTTCATTATTCACAGTTTCCATATTTGTGAATTCACTACTTGCTAAAATGTCTTCGTAACGGCAAAATCAATGCTCACTGTGCTTTTGTGGTTATTTGCAGACATGTGTGGAACAGTGAAAAACTGGAGTTGTTCCCCATGCATGTTTCTAGTTGAAGTTAAACCAGGTGACAGCCCTTTTTGTTTCAGCCCTCATACTGTAAACAACTCTCCTTTTTGTGGTCAGCTTAGTGCCACATTTTAAAACATTTTTCTGCTTTTTTTTTTGGTGATTTTACTATTTGAAATGGTCCAAGGATAGTGCCAGCCTACTGTCCAGTGTTCCTAAGTGCAAGAAGGCTGTGATGTGCCTTGGGAAGAAATATGAGTGTTAGATAAGCTTCGTCCAGGCCTGAGTTGTAGTGCTGTTGCTGTGAGTCCAATGTTAGTGAATCAACAATATATACTCAATAAACAGTCTTTAAGTAGAAACACATGTTAAACAAAGTTATGTATTTATCAGTTGATGAAAATGTGACCAGAGGCTCACAGACACCTAGCCCTGTATCTCTCCCCAGAGCAATGCTTCAGTATTTGCTCAGAACCACCACAAGTAATGAGAACAGGCTAACCTACCCCTTGGAGTTGACGTGAGGATCTCATGAGCTAATGCCCCTAAAATGCATGGTGCCTTACAGTGTGCCCCATAGGTGCTAACTATAGCAGTTATCATCATCATCATCATCATCATCATCAATGAAAATACGGGAGAAGAAAAAATTACCAATAATCCCACTATTGTACCTCAACAACTCTCTTCATTTTGGGTATTCCCTTCAGTCATTGTTACGTTGCATTCACATCTTTGTATAACTGCATTAAACTGCATACAATTTTGAATATTTCTTTGCTACCATTCTGTCATGTGCATCACCCTGTGTTGCGACACAGCCTCCATTTCTGTGGTCTTCTTGATGGAAAGCGGTAAAAACTTTGTTCCTGGGCTCATGTAAGAGCAGCTCTCTTCAAGCATAGGGATGACTTCATTGCTCACGACACCAATGTGCCTTAAAATTCTGTGATTAATTGTAAAAAAGAACTCTCTCTGAACACTACAGAGAAAACTCTCACAGAGCAGAGAAATTTATTATGTGATCTTCTTCTCTCCAGAGGAAAATGGTGTGTTTTAAGTCAGAAGGTTTGGGTCATTATTCAATAGAACGAGGTGCTCGAGGGATTACAAAAGAAGAGTAACTCTAATCTTTGTGAGAGTGATGGCCTAATACAGGTGTTAGCAAACATTTCCCGTACAGGCTCAGATAGTAAATGTGTTAGACCTTGTGGGCCATATGATCTCCATTGCAGCCACTCAACTCTGCCATTGTAGCCAAAACTATGGATAATATTAATGGATAATATTAAACAATTGAGTGTGGCTGTGTTCCTATAAAACCTTATTTACAAATAAGGCACAATTCCAAACAAAATAGATCTGAACACCAAAGTGGGCAGTTCGTTTATTGCTTTATTCTTCCACAAAACTTCTAGTATGTTAGGCCTTGTCCTGGTTGGCAGTAACATCAGCAAGAGTAGCAAAACATTTTTCTATGCCTCATGAAGTTTATAGTCTGAAGGGGGAGAGAGCGATCTTAATAAAATAATTGTATAAATGAATATATAATTGCATGTGTTGATAAATACTGCAAAGGAAGAAAACAGTGGGAAATAGGACTGTGTCAGATATTCAGGCACGAAGTTTAGGGAAGGGGCTGCACTTTGAGGTGGCCGCCAGACACTCATTGAAATAAGAGGGCCTTGATCATTGTGCAGTAAGTGATTTTTATTAACAAGAACTTAGTCATTACATACCTAGCTGTAAGTAGATGCTAGCTCTGAAGAATAGATTTTCGGTGGTCAGTTTGGCATTCAACCAGGACCAAAAGAGAATCCCCTCATTCGCTGACTTGGGGCTGGATTTATGAGTGTCGTCACTCCCTTTGTATTTTCTTTTTTTGTCTTATTGGTCTTTCTAGGCAGAAATGAATACCACATGGTTGAGACACGCATAAGATTCAGGTCCATCAGGTCTTGAGCATCTTTCTGGTAACTTAAACATAAGCCAGGATCCACATATCTAACGGCTACATGGGATATAGGGCCTCGTTCATAAAAACGCATACCCATACTTCTTACTATGCCCTTGCCTGTTCCTCTTTAGTTCTCTCACCCCCTGCAAATATTCTTCCTTTTTAAACCCTCAGTTTCTTCACCAAACTTTCCCAGACAACCTATCCCCAAGGACTTTCTTTATCCCTCTTTGCCAGCCAACCTGTGTACCCCTTTTCTTCTGGAGGTGCACTGAGGACTTTTCCCTCCTGCCTGATCATCTGGGCCTCTCTGGGCTACCCGGGCCTTGCAGCTTCATGGTTCCTCCCTGAGCCTCTCTCCCTAGGGAGGGAAGCACAAGGAACTCACTGGAGTGGGCAGTTCTGTTCACACCCTGGTAAATGAAATCCTCTGCCTCATTACACTCTGCAGACAATTTCAGCATCCAGTCATGCTTATTTCTTGAAGGAAAAGGACTGTTTTTCCATCATTTGGGTCTATGACTCCACTGGGGATTACGGAAAGAGACAACATTGTGGAATGTGTGTGTGTGTGTTGTTGGAGACAGCTTTTGCTTGGGCTGGTATCATGTCTACTCCAGGATTTTCTGAAGTGACTGTGGGACAGGAAGAGGCCCATTGGTGGCTACTTAGCAACACCAGGCCCTTCACGGGCAGTGGAAAGTCACTGGGGTAATGCCCCAGACCCTCACCCTCAACAGGCTACACCTGGACAGAGACAGGGCACCCTTATGGGGCTTTCAGGGATGAGATGTGTTCATCTACAAATAAGGGAGAAGCACAGAGACTTCTACAAGTATGTAGAGGAGAATCTAGGAGATACAATGCAAGGGCTGAGAATTTGGGATATACACTTATTACTGTTGGTGTGGTCCTAGCCTTACAACAGGTTGTGCAGCCCACCAAAGCATGGATTACAGTGTTAACATGCAGAAATTCCTGATTGTACCTCTTTTCCAGCTGTTCAATCCTACATGAGGCCTTTCAAAACCCCTGTGATTTCTTACGATTAGAGATGTAGGCTGTCCCATCTAGTAAATTTGTCAAACCACTACTGGGTATCAGGTAGAAATAGAGTTCCCTTTCATCACTAGCAATATGTTTCTTTTCTCAATGGTTTGCTCTCCTTTGCTCATTTTGCATGGAAGGTCTTCATTACTCCTGTATTTTAAAAGCTATCTTGTCAATATTATTCCAAGCGAATTTCTCAGTATATTTTAAAAGGGAAAACTAATAATGTGATCCTCTTGCTTAAAACCCTTTACAGCTTCCCAAGAGTGTTAGAATTAATGGGGCTGGTACTAGCATGCAAAATTTAAGGGAATGTCAAAAAAGTCAGTAGTCAAGATAAATAATATTTAATGCACTATTTTAAAAATGTTCTTGGCAAACTTTCGTCCACACCTGCGTTTGTAAATGAGGTTTCAACTCACACCATGCATGTGACTTGAGAGGCCACTGCAGCACGGCCAGGCCTCAGTGCACTCTCTGGCCTCAACGTAACTCCCTTGACCTTCCATGTTGTATTAGTCCTTTCTCATGCTGCTAATAAAGACATACCCCAGATTGGGTAATTTATAAAGGAAAAAGGTTTAATGGACTCACAGTTCCACATGGCTGGGGAGGCCTCACAATCACGGCAGAAGATGAAGGAAGAGCAAAGGGACATCTTACATGGCAGCAGGCATGTGCAGGGGAACTGCTCTTTATAAAACCATCAGATCTCATGATCTGTGACTTAGTCACTATCACGAGAACAGCATGGGCAAGACCCGCCTCCATGATTAAATTACTTCCCACTGGTTGCCTCCCACAGCACATGGGAATTATGGGAACTACAGTTCAAAATGAGATTTGGGTGGGGACACAAGCCAAACTGTATCATGTAACCAAATATGTTAAGCTCCATCCATGCTGACTTTGGTGGTCATGTCCATCCCGGGCCTTTATATGGGTTGTCCCCTTTCTTCACATCTCTGCTGAGCTGGCCCCTGCTCATCCTTCAGAACTCGATCAAGTGCTCCTTCCCTCTTGTTGGCCACCCTGAGCCCCAAGGTGGGATCAGGCTCCTCTGCTAGGTGTCCTCAGGGTGGTGCGTGGGGGTCGTTAGTGTTTGTCCTTAGAATACCTGGCAAGCAGACATGCACGTGGGTCATTTTGTTTATTAACACCAAACTCCTCCAGTTGATTATAAGCTCCATGAGGGCAGGACTGAATTTGTCATTCTTATCGCACAGTGGCTTACATGTCAGTCATCACTGAACAGTTAATGGTCATTTGATCTGATATGCTTCTGGTATAATTTCATGATATCAGATCTGGAGACATGAAGTCATTGTTTTCCTGGTGGGGAGTGTGACACCACCATCTTGTTCACCATTTGCAGAGTTCTTTCCTGTCTTCGGGCAAGTAGATTAGGTTATATCGTTATCTCTGTTTATAGCTGTCTCAAATAAATCCTTTAGAAGAGGGAGAAAGATGGTACAAAGAAAAAAGAAGCCAAGGAGGAAAGTGACTCTCAGAGATGCTAATGACTTTCCCAGGAAGGCTGTCACACAGCAAGAACTCAGATATGGGTTTTACAACTCAGAAACTCATCCTGTTCTAGGCCCCAACCTCACTCTCTCAGGAGAAGGTCCTGGAGGAGATTCCCCTCTCACTTTCCAGAAAAAGGACAAAGGGAATTAGGAATCTTTTCTTAACATTAACGCCTTGCCAATTTCTAGACCTCCCCTCCTGCTCCTCCCTTAAGACATCCTATTTGCACGTCTCTGCTCTTAGAGGCTATTGGGTTTAAGCGCCACAATAAATAAAAGGCAATAAAATAAATAAAGGCAATAAAAGATATCTCCTGGTAGGATATAATTTTCTTTCTTTCGTTCACTGTCTCAGAGTTATTTTATCCTTTTCACCACGAGGGACTCAATTGGAACTGGCTCTCTTATTAGCCTTCAGGTTCAACTGGCTTCCATGGAGGCATTGTCTCCTCATAGACCTGTTCACTTGACAGACCTTCACAGAAGTTTCATCAGTATAAGGACCCAAAACACCATCTAAATGGCTTCATCCAGCCATGGCAGATGCCCTTTGCTGCTGGGTTGGGTTTTTTTTTTTTTTTCTTTCTTTTTTTTTTGAGATGGAGTCTCACTCTGTCACTCAGGCTGGAGTGCAGTGGCACAATCTCAGCTCACTGCAACCTCCGCCTCCTGAGTTTCAAGTGATTCTCCTGCCTCAGCCTCCCAAGTAGCTGGGACTACAGACATGCACCACCACACCTGGCTAATTTTTGTGTTTTTAGTAGAGGTGGGGTTTCGCCATGTTGGCCAGGCTGGTCTCGAACTCCTGACCTCAGGTGATCCACCTGCCTTGGCCTCCCAAAGTTCTGGGATTTCAGGCATGAGCCACTGTGCCTGGCCCTGCTGGTTTTACTTCTGCCTGAAACCCACTGGGGTGAAAGGACAGGCCTTGGAAATGTTGCATTAGTAGCAACTGCTCCCTCTAATGGGAGGACACATCCCTTCCCCATAGTCAGTGCAGGAGTCACAGAAGCTTGAGCACGACCTCAGGAATCGGCTTCCATTCATTCATTCAACCCATATTTACTGAGCCCCAGTGTGTGCCGGGTACTTCTGGACCCTTGGGATATGAGGTGAACAGCTCACAGATCCCTGCCCTCCTGGAGTTTACATTCTTATGAGAGAAACGGTCAATGAATGAGTAGTCAAATAAGTTTTACTTCCAGTAATATGTGGTATGGAGAAAAAGAAATGAAGGAGAACAGAGATAAAGTTTGGTGATGGTGGAAGGTGGCAGACAGGGTAGCCAAGGAAAGCCTTGCAAACGAGGTGACATTTGAGCAGAGACATGACATGAAGTTCTGGGAGAAAAGTTTATCAGGCAAGGTATATGGCTGGTAGAAAACTCTGAGTCCAAGGCAAAGTGACTATCCACAATCAGCCAGAGGTCACCATGGCTGGGAAGCATGGCAGGAAGTGGGACCAGGGATGCATGCAAAGGCCAAAACAGGAGGGAGTTCATGCTGCTCATATCTGTTCTGGAAGGACACTGGAGAAATGTGTGTGAAGAGGAACATGAACTGACTTATGCTTTAAAGGGACCATTCTGACCGTCATGTGCAATGAATGGAGTTGAGGGGCTAGTCAGGAGTAGGGCAGAGAGATCAGGTGAGAGGCTCCTAGAATAATCCAAGTAAAAGATGGAGGTGACTGGATTGGGGTGTTGGCAGTGGAGGTGGTGAGGAACGGTCGGTCAGATCGTCATGTATTTTGAAGGCGGAGTTCATTCACCATTGTTGCTGTACCAGTTGTGGGCTAGGAAAGAAAGCAGTGTGGGTCAAGCATCACTCATTCATTCATTGACACATACTTGTTGAATACCTATCATGAACCTGCCCTTGTTCTGGGTGATGGCTATACCGGTAAACAGAATAGTCAAAGCTTCCTGCCCTTGTGGAACTTACACTTTATTATTTTATTTTTATTTATTTTGTTGAAACGAGGCCTTGCTCTGTTGCCCAGGCTGGAGTGCACTAATGCAATCATAGCTCACTGCAGTCTCAAGCTCCTTGGGCTCAAGTGATCCTCTGGCCCCAGCCTCCCACGTAGCTGGAACTACAGGTGATGCCACCACACCTGGCTAGTTTTTGTAGAGACAGGGTCTCACTATGTTGCCCAGGCTGATCTTGAACTCCTGGCCTCAAATGATCCTCCCACCTTGGCCTTCCAAAGTGCTGGGATTACAGGCGTGAGCTACTGTGCCCGGCCTGGTTTACATTTTAGAAAAAGAAACAGAAAATAAAGGTAAAAAAACAATAAGTGAATTATAATACATGTTCAGAAGATATTTGTTATGGTAAAAAGAAAAAAATAGAGCAGAAGAGGGACCCTGGGGCAGGGGAGCAGCTGCAATTTTAACTAGGGCAACCAAGGTGGGTGTTCTTAAAAGGTCGCCAGGTTTTGGGCCCTAAGTAGTTAGATGGAAGCTAATACTACTATTTAATGAGAGGTCTATAAAGATTACACAAATAGGCTGGGTGCAGTGGCTCACACCTGTCAATCCCAGAGCTTTGGGAGGCCGAGGCAGGCGGATCGCTTGAGGTCAGGAGTTCAAGACCAGCCTGGCCAACATAGCGAAACCCCGTGTCTGCTAAAAATACAAAAATTAGCTAGGTGTGGTGACACACACCTGTAATCACAGTTACTCAGGAGGCTAAGGCAGGAAAATCGCTTGAGCCCAGAAGTCAGAGGTTGCAGTGAGCCGAGATCGCACCACTGCACTCCGGCCTGGGCGACAGAGTGAAACTCCATCTCAAAAAAAAAAAAGAATAAAGAAATAAAAGTGGGAAGAGGAGCAGGCTGGAGGTTAGGGTGGGGTAAACAAGCTGTTGTCATACTTGAGTCCTTGAGTATTGAATTTGAGCTGTCTCTTAGTGACAATACCAAGTAGATAGTTGGATATTCAAATCTGGGGCTTAGGCAGAGGCCAGGGCTATGTATATACATTTCAAAGTATCAGAGTCTAGAAGGTCTTTAAAGCCATAAGACCAGATGAGGTCTACAAGGATGAGAGTGGAGAGAGAAAAAAGAGGGCCCAGGGCCAGGGGCTACTGAGTCCTCAGAGTAGAGAGAAGAAAAGAGGAATTAGCAAAGGAGATGCAGAAGGAATAGCCAGGAAAGTGGGAGAAAAATGAGGCGCTTGAACGAAGAGCTGAAGAGGTAGAAAGCAAGTCACAGCGCTCAAAGCAGCAGGTGAGATGGTGAGTGGGTTGGGAAAGTGACTAGGAGAACTTTTTATAAGCGACTTCCTGAGCAGCAAGTGATCAAGTTACCCTGTTGTTAGCTATTTGACGGTGGTGTGTAGAGTCACAGAAAGGTGGCCTCTCCCTGTGTGCCCACGGAAACACCAGGGCTGAGCCCTTTGCGTTTGCCAGTGTTCATGTGTTCACTTAAGAATTAATATTATTCTCCAAGGCAAGGCAGTGGGTACAGATCGCAGAAGAGTCAATACCACACACAAGATTTTGAACTTAAATTTATAGGCAATGGGGATTTAGATAAAGTTTTTCAGCAGGAGAGTGACATATGTAACCTGTTCCATGTAAATAGTTTGGGGAGCAGAAGGGAGGATGAGTTGGAGGAAGGAGAGGTGATAGGGAGGCCATTTTAGTAGTGGAGCCATGAAATGGGGGAGGGGGAGACTGAACCAAAGGAGATGCAGCGAGAATTCGAAAGCAGAGATGCGAGAGACACGGAGAAGGTGGACATACAGCCTCTGGTACGTGATTGTGGGAGGGTACAATGAGAGGAACATTGAAGACCACTCTTGGGGTTCTATCTTGTGTGACTGGGGGATGGAGCCCACTGTGGGTTTTTGCTGGGAGATGGAGAGGAGAGGCTGTCAGATTAACCAGTTTATGGATTAATTATTAAGAAACAGCAGGGACCTGGGATTTCCCCTCCTCACTGATTAGTTAGCTGGTAATTAGGCAGTGGCTGAGAATGCTACTGTCTGTCCCCCATCGGGTGGGAGGAGCAGAGCTGAGCCTCCCCACAGTTGCTGTGGTGCATGGAGTGGGGACCTAGAATCACTGCTATCACGTGACATGCCCCCTGTTCCTCCTGGGAACCCAACTCTGAAGGGGTCTTCTTGACATCCGATTTTCTCCTTCCAGAGCTCTTCTGAAGTTCTTGCCTAATGAAGAAAAAGCAAGAAAAGGGAAAATATGTGTACCACAGAATTTTCCTTCTCTCTGGTGGTGTTTTGCAAAAATGCCATGGCAACTTTCCTCTTCAAATACTTGGGATTTGTTTCTCTTGCATCTGTCAAGTGCACATCAAAGTTGAATTTTCCACTTTGGAATTATGATTTGTATTCTGCTTCTCCCATCTGGGCTTCTGTTCTCCTGAAAACTGCCTATTCTACTGTGAAATGAGCATTCCCCAAGGCTGATGTAGCCGCTTCATGCTAAGTGTTGATGGGAAACCTGAAGCTGAGTTGGGCAAATGTTTTTGAGATCTGTAAATTCCCCAGAGACTTAAATTGCTTGAATTATTGAGGGACATTTTGACCTCTTGTTGGACCAATGAGAATGAAAGAAAAGATTGGTTAAATAGAAGAAATGTTCAGAATCCCCCTCAGCCCTCCAAATTCCAAATATTTTCTTTTTTCTTTCTTTTTGTTTCTTTTGAGACGGAGTCTTGCTCTGTTGCCCAGGCTGGAGTGCAGTGGCACAATCTTGGCTCACTTCTACCTCTGTCTCCTGGGTTCAAGCCATTCTCCTGCCTCAGTCTCCTGAGTAGCTGGGATTACAGGTGCACGCCACCATGCCTGGCTGATTTTTGTATTTTTAATAGAGATGGGGTTTTACTGTGTTAGCCAGGCTAGTCTCAAACTCCTGACATAAAGTGATCTGCCTGCCTTGGCCTCCCAAAGTGCTGGGATTACAGGCATGAGCCACTGCACCCGGCCAAATGTTTTCTAGTTAAGTTCATATACCCATGCCAGAGTGCCTAGCTCACACTTCATTATAAATGTCTGCCTCAAACAGAAGTCCTGGGTCCATGTTTCCACTGTCCTGCGAGGGATACACAAGAACACTTGGCAAACGAAGAAGGGAAGGCCTGGGGCTACAGTGGGTAGGGAGTACCAGAGACCCAGGGGACAATATATGGGTTAAATGAGGACTTTATTTAATAGTATTTTTAAAAATTAAAATTGTGACAAAATTTAGGAATCAGTAATTATTTAAAAATCCAAATATTCTGCTTCTCTTGAAAAATCAGAAGACATGGCATCTCGGGGCCCAAATTTCTATTTGGCAGTTTTCAGCTGGAGGTCAGCTGGTGTCCCCCTAAACTCAAGGCATGTGGTCCCCAGTGGGTCACGCCCACCAGAATCCTCTGCTGTCTTGATAGCTCTGAGGTCCTTCAGGGATCACTGGGGAATGATGTTCTCCTAGAAGACTTTCTGGATCCTCCAGGTCCAGGTTAGATGCTAACCAATGCTCTTAAAGTAGCTATAGCAACTTTTATTAATATAGATAATATTTTATATTTTTCATATTATATAATTTTTGTTATTATATTTTAATTGCTTCCTGACTTATCTCAGTCCTCTTCAGTATAATTTAGTCTCCATAAGAATAAGTACTTGTTGTGTTTGTTATTAATCTCCAACATCTTGGCTGGGCGCAGCGGCTCACACCTGTAATCCCAGCATTTTGAGAGGCTGAGGTGGGTGGATCCCTTGAGCTCAGGAATTTAAGACCAGCCTGGTCAACATGGCGAAACCCCATCTCTACAAAAAATAAGCTGGGTGCGATGCTGTGCACGTGTAGTCCCAGCTACTCAGGAGGCTGAAGTGGGAGGCTCACTTGAGCCTCAGAAGTCCAGGCTTCAGTGAGCCAAAATTATGCCACTGCACTCCAGCCTGGCGACAGAGCAAAACCTTGTCTAAAAATAAAAAATTAACAAATCTCCAACATCTTGCATAAGGCCCAGGCCATAAGCAGACATTCAAATAAATTAATTTACTAAATAAGGACAATAGACTAAATAATCCCTGGGGTCCATTTTAGTTGTACTATTCTATTGCTCTGATGTTTCTCTTTAAAGAAACAGATTCATGGGTTTTCTATTAGAGTAAGACACTGTATTTGTCTCTACACATACCTGAGTAAGAATGCTTTGGGTTAGATCCCTCTTTTTTGGTTCGTAAAACTAGAGAAGAGAACAGATGGAAAGGACCTTGAAGTTCAGCTTCCTAATTTGCAGGTGGAGAAACAGGCTCAGAGAAGATACGTGGACTTCCTTCGAGTCATATAGTTGTAACCCAGGTTAGGACATGTGCCTCCAGGGCAGAGTCCACCTGCCTTGGTCTCTAGTCTGAAGGAACAAATGACCAGTGTGGTAGATAAGAACAAAGTATATTCAAAGCCTATAAAAGAAAAGAGACAGAGAGAGGAAAGTGGTACTAGCTGACAAATGTCACCTTAGTGGCAAAAACAGTAAATACCGTAGAGGTTTATAGGACAGAAATTACTTCAGAAACGTAACAAGGTTTAAGCAATCCAGTGTTTATTAGCAATGGTTCTCTGACTGGGGTGTCCAAATGCATTCTAAGGGGACTTTGAGTTCCCTTTGAAAACAGTGAATGTACAATTTCAGGGATTTTCATCATTTCTGTGAGGGAGTATGACACTTTCCTGGCCATTGAAGGGGAGAAGGGAATTGATTTGTAAATGATGTGTATACACAAAGTGAAGGCCCAGTGATGGAATGGTGATGGTTTGCAGTAGTTTGGGGCTGTGGCAATTAGTGACATTTTGTTTTTACATTATAAACAGTGATGTAATTGGAGTGAAATGCCATTATCCACTGCGTCATTTTAATGCAGTCAATTGTTACTGGCTTCGTATTTAGTTTTTACACTTATGTTGGTGTCAGAATTATAGAAGAGTTGTAAGCAAAAGCACTTTGCATCTAGTTGTGTTAGTTTTGTGTACATTGATGCAACATTGCAATGAAAGTAATCTAAAACAATGCCAACAGTCCAAGAGATTTTATCTTTCTTTTAGAAAGAGTCTATGCATTATTCAAGCTTGTTGTGAATGCTGACTTCCTATAGCACTTGCATTTAAGTTATGAGAAGTTATTGGCATGAGAGATAATTTAAGTGGCATGAGCTCATCTGCTGTCACTGCATGAATTACTTGGGAGGAACTTGGTGTGGGAGATGTGATATGCTCTCCCCTCAGTAGGTGGCTGTTCCCACAGGCAATTCTAGATTCTAAGATAATTCTGACTATTGTTTTATTGACTTTAGAACCAGATCCTTTGTAAGATGTTATGATGTACAGGGTCTAAGTGGTGGAAGGATGTGTCTTTCCTTTAATGTGATATAAGCCAGAGTTCAGCAAACTATGGCCCATGGACCAAACACAGCCCACAGTCTGTTTTTGTTAATAAAATTGTATTGGAATTTAGGCACACTCATTTATATACAGATGGTCTGTGGCTGCTTTCACACTATAAATCCTTAGTCCAATCATTTCGATAGAGATCCTATGGCTTGCAGAGTCCAAAGTCTTTATTATCTGACAGTGCCCTAGGACCCAGGGTCTAAATATAACCATTTCTGCACTGTGCTTTCAGCTTCTGTGTATTTTATTTGTTTCTCTAAAGTGACCTAATTAATCTGTCCTATTGGGATAATTAGGGAATTCTAGATGGTTGTTGCTTTGTGGAAGATTCCGTGATTTCTCTAATAAGGGAATCTAGTCTATTCTCAACATAGATTCCTACTTTCTTAAAATAGGATGCTAGAAGCTAGCAAGATGCTGTTTGATTCAGGAGCCCCACCTGCCAGAGCTAGCCTCAGGCTGCACTGTGAATGAGCCACTTGTGTTTCCACCCGTCCGCCCTGCTTTTCGGAACCCGCTTCCTTCATCATGTCTTTGCGTCACTGCCTTTTCACTCCATCCTGCCTCTCAGTAACATCAGTGAAGGCTCTGATATCTCACTTTTACCACCATTTAAGTTCACTTCATTTGTCCACTTCTTGCTTCTTCCAAGGGTGTTTGCACTTGAAGCTTTTTGTCCCCACTGTGTATAGGAAGCTTTGCCTTCCCTGAAAGGTTTGACCAACTCAGAGGAGTGGAGGGAGAAGGGATGAGGGGGCAGCACAGGACGGGGAGTGGTAGGGACAGGGCTGTCCCTGGAAACACACAGTCCTCCTCAGTGACTGCACGGCTCATTGCACCTCATTCCTGGGTTGCTGTACAGATCAGAGTCTACCTCACCTCAAAAGCCCCACAGTATTTGTTAAATGTCTGGGGGATTCCAGATACTTAACAAATAATCTTTCAATGTGGTCGACTTATTTAGGGAACAAACACAAAAAGACTCACACAAAAGGCATGGGAGTCAAATGCTCTTTGGGATACTTGACTGGAGAGGGCTTTCTACTTACACGTGCCTAGGGAAATAGTCAAAGGATGAGGGGGGTTGGTATGATTTAGGGACAGTTCCTAGAAGGAGATACTTACTCCTGAATGTGCTCTGCTTAAAAAAAAAAAAAAAAAAAAAAAAAAGAAGAAGAAAAGAAAAGAAATTGTGTTGGGCGTAACCACAGCCTTCTTAGCCAGCCTGAGTTGGCATTGCTCACCCTCTGAGGATTAGGTCAGCCACAGTGAGCTTTCTCAAGGAAGTGGTGCCTTGGGGAGCCCGCGTTGGAAAGCAATAGCAGATGGCTGCCGTGGGATGTATATGGTCCTGCTTTTTTAATATGTGGAGAAAAGAGACCTGCGCTCTCTGTATGTTCACATATATCAGGATCATTATATGTTAATTGCTTATTATGGCAACTGATGATTTGCCTCCTGTTTCTTATGTGTTCTGTCAGTTAACATTTATTGGGCACCTACTATATGTCGATAGAATCTGCACAGTGGCAGGTAAAGTTTTCCCTGTCTTTAAAGAGCTCAAGTCTGATAAGAATGACAACTCATGAATAATTGCAATCTAGGATGGAGAAACGGGGGAATTCTCCCTTAGAATTATATCCCCCTCATTGACTTCACACTAAATTCGACTTTTTAAATTCAGCAGTGATTATCTAAAGCCTGAGCTGTTCAGATTGTTAAATAACAGTACTCTAAGTTAATCTACAAGAATCTTAATTAAAGAAGTGAATTTGGGTATGTTCAAATTATAACTCAGCTGAAAAACAGTTTCTCTACTATGCATTCCCCTCACCAATCCCACTTCCCAAATAAACTGACTGAGGTGGGATAAAAGGGTCCAGACTAGAGGATGGCAAACTCCAGCCCCAAGGTCAAGTTACACCTGCCACCTGTTTCTATAAATAGTTCTCCTGGAACACAGAAATGCCCACTCATTTACATAATGTCTATCATCTGTGGCTGCTTTCAAGCTACAAGGCAGAGGTGAGCAGCTGGGACAGAGGTTGTGTGTGGCCAGCAAAGCCTAAAATATTTACTTTTTGTATCACAGGAAAAAAAAATTGCCAACCCTTGGTCTAGAGTAAACTGAACACCCATAAAAAGTAAAAACAACATTATTCACCACCTCTGACTGGCAAAATGACTTAAGAACCAGCACACTGGTACATTTTAATAGCAGTTAAATCTAGACACATTTGGATTTAAATTGAAATCCAATATCCTCCTCTTCATGATGAAGTATTAACATGGTTAGCTAGCTAAGAAATATTTGACCCTCACGTACTTAAAATATCTCTTGTTTTGGTGTTTGTGTACACAAATTAGGGAATACAAATTATGTTCATGAAGTAAGTCATCTTCACCAACGGAAAGAAATATTCTCCAAATCGCTGAGACCATGCATCAACCCTACTGCACAGTTAGAAGAAGGGCCACATTAATTACCCGAGGATACAGAATCTCTTAGGAAGAGGAGTGGCCACAGAGAACAAGAGCATATATAGTGCATTTCAGAGAAGTTTCTCCTGCCCTCCAGATTCCCCTGTGGACCTACTCTGAGTCCATTCTGCAAGGGGGCATTTCTGCATTTGAGCAGCTCCCGTTCTTACCCATTACACATCCCTGTGTATAGGGGGCTTCAGGAAGAACTTACACAACCAATCGATGGCCTCAGTTTAATATAACATTTAAAAATATCTCGCTCTCCTGATTCTGTAGCCAAACTCAGAATCATCAAGGCCACTTCCTCTCCCAGGAGAGTAAGCAAACTTACTGCCCAGATGTCCCCCAAAGTGTCTTTGCCTTCAACTTTGCTGCAGGCTGGAAAGGCTGTTTCTCTACAAGGACTGGAGATGCAAACCCTTGGAGGGGAGGGTCCTGGGGAGGGCAGGCACGTGTTAAAAAGGGCAGTAGATGAAAGCAAATGTGGCTGCAATTGTCCGCTTCTGCTTGAACAGCAAGTCTGTCCCATGCTATAACAGGGATTCTGTAGGATGGATCCTGTTTTTTGTTTTGTTTTGTTTTGTTTTTTGAGGCGGAGTCTCGCTCTGTCGCCCAGGCTGGAGTGCAGTGGCGCCATCTCTGCTCACTGCAAGCTCCGCAGGAGAATGGTTCACGCCATTCTCCTGCCTCAGCCTCCTGAATAGCTGAGACTACAGGCGCCCGCCACCACACCCGGCTAATTTTTTGTATTTTTTAGTGGAGACAGGGTTTCACCGTGTTAGCCAGGATGGTCTCGATCTCCTGACCTCATGATCTGCCCGCCTCGGCCTCCCAAAGTGCTGGGATTATAGGCGTGAGCCACTGCACCCTGCCCTGATCCTGTTTTTTAGAGAAAGTAGATTGTTAATCCGTCACTTTATGTATTGTCTCTAAGATAGCATCTATCATGTATATAGGCACAAATGCATACTGGAGTGAATTCATAAATTAATAGATGAATTAAGACCTCAGACTCTGGAGACAAGCAAAATTGAGTTTAAATCCCATCTTTGCCAGTTAATAGCTGTTAGTTATCTATCGCTGTATAACAAATTGTCCCAAATTTAGTGGCTTAAGTTATTATCTCACAGCACTGTGGGTAAAGGATCTGGGTTTGGCTTTGCTGGGTACCAAGGCTGCAGTCATCTCAAAGCTTGGCCAGGTGGGGAAGGACCTGCTTTCAAGCTCACACATGTGGTTGTTGGCTGGCCTCAAATCCGTCATGGCTGTTGGCTGACCTCAAATCCATCATGGCTGTTGGCTAGAGACATCAGTTCCTTGCCACCTGGGCCTCTCCAAAGGGCTGCTCACAACATGGTGGCTGGCTTCCCCCAGAGAGGGGAATCTGAGAGAAAGATCCAAGATGGAAGCTACAGTGTTTTTGTTTTCACTGGGAATGTGGGCAAGGCATTGAAAAAGATTTTTGTGTGAGTGATAAAATATACACAACATTATTTGCTATTGTAACCTTTCTTTCTTTCTTTTTTTTTTTTTTTTTTTTTGAGACAGAGTCATGCTGTGTCACCCAGGCTGGAGTGCAGTGATACTTCCTTGGCTCACTGCAACCTCCACCTCTCGAGTTCAAGAGATTCTTCTGCCTCAGCCTCCCAAGTAGCTGGGACTATAAGTGTGCACCACCACACCTGGCTAATTTTTTGTATTTTTAGTAGACGGGGTTTTGCCATGTTGGCCAGGCTGGTCTCAAACTCCTGACCTCCAGTGATCTGCCCACCTCGGCCTCCCAAAGTGCTGGGGTTACAGGCATGAGCCACCACACCTGGCCTATTGTAACCACTTTTAGGTGTGCAATTAGGTGGCATTAAGTATATTCACTGTGTTTTACAACCATCACCACTATTTATTTCTAAAACTTTTCATCACCCCAAACAGAAACTTGAAGCTACAGTGTTTTTGCAACCTAATCTCAGAAGCAACATACCACCATTCTGTTATATTCTGTTTCTTGGAAGCAAGTCACCAAACATAGCCCACAATTCCAGGGGGAGGGTATCTTGAAGGACAAGAAGACCAGGAGGAAGACATCCTAGAAGGCAGTCCCAGAAGCTGCCTGCCATACAGGCTATGTGACCTTAGGCAGGTAGTAACCTGCCTCAGTTTCAACCTTTGTAAAACAAGGATGATATCTTAGTCTGTTCAGGCTGCTATAACAAAATACCATAAACTGGGTGGCTTATGGACAACAGGATTTTATGTCTCACAGTTCTAGAGGCTGGAAAGTCCAAAGGCAAGGCAGAGTCTGTCTGGTGAGGGCCTGCATCCTCACAGGTGGCACCTTCTTGCTGTGTCTTCACATGATGAAAGGGGCAAGGGGTCTCTCTCAGGCTTCTTTTTAAGGGCACTTATTTCATTCATGAGGGCTCTGTTCCCATGAGCTAATCACCTCCCAAAAGCCCTACCTCCTAATGCCATGGCCTAGGGGTTAGGATTTCAACATATGAATTTCGGAGGGACAGAAACATTCAGACCTAGCAGATGATTTTGCCTGCCTCATAGTGCTGTACTTATATCCAGGGGGAGCACCCCCAAGTTTCTACTCTTTAATATAAGATTAAATAGATGGCCCCAAGCCATGATGTTTGGCCACCATGGACTCCAGGCAGGGTTTTCCTGCACGGCTTCTCAGATCTTCATGGTGCTTCAGCAGAGATCACATCTTTAGATCTCTGACAGCATGAGCAGATAGAGGGCAGAGCAGAGGCAGAACTGTGGCAATACAAAATATGATTCCTACATCTTCTTCCCAGTACAATCTTTATGGGGAGCAGAGCTTCCTGTAAGGAAGGAGAAGCCTCCCCTGGACAGTGTTGAGCTCCCATGTCCTCATCATATCTCCTCTGGGAGTGGATCCACCCCTCCCTCAGTTGCTCACATTCACCACCAAGATACTATCCTTGTACCCATTATGGTTTATTCTCTTTCTTCCATGCACATTCCCAGTATCACTTTAATGTGTCCGCCCTCTTTCCTGGTGAGCTGTCCTGTGCAGTGAATAAGAAACAGTTACTTCCCCTGGAGGGCTTGCATATGACTATGCAACGTGCAAGCAGGCTGCTTTTAAAACTATTATTTAAAATTTTTCAAAATGGTAGTATCTCTTTCCATCCTTGTCCCCTCTCACAGGTCAAACCTAAACAATTCAGGGTCTCATTCCAAACACCAGCTCATGGATGTGTTCTGAGCCATCATATATTCCAGCCATATCTTTATACTTCTGTGGTCCTGTGGAATAGTACCAATCCAGATCCTTAATTAGCTGAAAATTAATTCAGATGATTGCATATTTAAGCCAAAGAAATAAATTAATATTGTGTGCAAAGGTTTCTGGTGATGAGTATTTTGGAAGGACTGTTAAACACATTTGAAATAAAAATAGTTTACTGGCTAAGGCTCAGAAAAAAACAAAAATTATTACTGATCAGTGTTTTCTAAAGTGTGTTCTGCAGACCGAAATGCTGTTTATTTGCCCACTGACCAAAATTACATTGATAATCTGTACTAATCTCATCAGGGTTGATGAGAATATGGTAAAACAGTCATGGACTGTTTTCTGCTGGGAGTATAAATTGGACATGCCTCTAGGCAAGCAATTTTGTACTATTTATCAGAATTTAAAATGTATATGCCCTTTGGCCCAGCAACTCTACTTCTAGAAGTTAATCTTAAATCATTCTTGCACATATATACAAGGGGCTTTATTGCAGTACTGTTCATAGTAAGAAAACGTTGGAAACAACTTAAATGTATGTCTATAATAGACCAGGTAAATCAATTATAATATGCCTCTACTCTTGAATATTGTACAACAGTCAAAATAATGAGCAGGCTTGGTACAGGGGCTTATGCCTGTAATCCCAGAACTTCGGGAGGCCAAGATGGGAGGATCTTTTGAGGCCAGGAGTTCAAGACCAGCCTGGTCAACACAGTGAGACCCCCATCTCTAAAAAAATAAACAGCCCACCTGTATGTATTCACATGGAAAGATGGACATAGTATTTTGTTACCTGGAAGAAGCAAGTCGTAGAGCAATATTTTAATATAATTACTTCTATAGGAAAAGATATATACATATGGTATTATATATATAATTTCTGTGTGTATGCACAATATTGTGTGTGTGTGTCACACACACACAGCATGTTTTCATGCTGCTAATACCTGAGACTGGGCAATTTACAAAAGAAAGAGGTTTAATTGAACTTACAGTTCCACATCGCTGGGGAGGCCTCACAGTCATGGCGGGAGGAAAGGAGGAGCAAGTCACTTCTTACATGGATGGCAGCAGGCAGAAAAAGAGAGTTTGTCCAGGGAAACACCCATTTTTAAAACCATTAGATCTCATGAGACTCATTCGCTATCATGAGAACAATGCAGGAAAGACCCATCCCATAATTCAATCATCTCCCACTGGGTTCCTCCCATGACACTTGGGAATTGTAGGAGTTACAATTCAAGATGAGATTTGAGTGGGGACACAGCCAAACCATGTCATATATGTATATATATAAAATACATGTACAACCACATAGATTTGTTTGGAAGGATACACACCAAACTGTTAATAGTGGTTATTCTTCCTCTTGAGAAAGAAATAGAATTTTCTAGAGGGTAGGAGGGTTGCTTCCTGCTTTGCTGTGTATCCTTGCATATTGTTTGAATTTTTTATAATTAGTATACATTGCTTCTGTAATTTATGAAACAATTTAAACATCTCTTAAACTCATAGACATAACATATTTATTTTTAAGCAAATTAAGAAAAAGAACCATGTAATCTCTCTGCCCAAATGTAATTACTATTAATCTTCCATACCTTTTTCTATAGATGTATTGTTTGTTTTTAAAAAATGTAATTTTTCCATTTAGACCATTTTGTAATCTGCTGCTTTTATTTCACAATATGGGATAAATGTGATTATTCCCTGCATATTTATGTGCCAGTAGATATTCAGTTATATTTCTAATGACTTCAATGTTATGGTTTTTAGGTATATGAGATTACTGGAAACTAGGCATTTGAAATGGGCAAGGTAAATTCCTAGTGCAATATCCTGTTACCTGGCTTCTTGCTTTCATCTTGTTCATCCGTACATCTAGATTGTCCACCCTTTATGCCTAATCTCTGTCATTGTCTTGAATAAAATTTTCCATGGCTGCCCATTGCCCTCAAGATAAATTTCTAGTTTCCTTAGATAGATTGCAAGGCCCCTCACTTTCCAGTTCATGTTTCCTCTGGCACATCTTTGGCCAACACCTTTATCTTCAACTCCCATCAACAGCTCACCTCACCCAGGCTTATTCTCACTCTGCCTTCCGGTTTCAGCTCCAATGACTCCATTTCTGATTCAGTTACTTCTCTGTTTCTCAGAGCATCTTCCACTTCTTCCATCTCTTGTTTTTGCCACCCAATAGGCACTCTCCCTTTTCCTGACAAAACAGTTCATTGTGTGTGAGAGACTTCGGGCAAGGTTATTAAGCTGTCCACGCTTCAGGCTTATCATGATTCATCATCTATTAATAGGACAATAATAGTACCGACCTCCTGAGATTGTTAATTGGAGGAAGTGAATGAATATCTCTCAGTGGATTAGAAGTGCCTGGGGCATAATAAGGGCTCTATGTGTTTGAGGCTGCAGTTGCTGTAATTGGAATCATCTCTCTTTTACTCAGTCCACCTAGTTTGGTTGAAGTTGGTTCTACCCTCTGCTCTAGGGGTTGCTAAGGTAATCAGTAAATCTCATCCTTCTAGATCCTGTGATGGGTTCAGAAGAGAACACAAAACCCGATTTGAGCCAGTGAGAGTCACTATGAAGACTTTACTTTCTGAAGGAGAGAAACTCTCTATCTCTAGGCATGTGCATAATGCATGCTAGGCTTACTGCTATTGGAGCTGAGACATTGCAGATGGAAGCCCATCAGAGCATGGAACCAACACAGAGGGAAACACAGCTGAGCAAAGAGAGAGAAGTCCTGTCCTGGTGATACTGGGATGAGCCTTTCATGAAGCGATGCCTGACCAGCTCTTCCTCCAATTCCTCAGTCGTTTGAGCCAAAATACTTCCTTGTTGCTTAAACCACTAAGGGTTAGGTTTTCTGTCACTTACAACCCAGAGTTTCAAGAGATATATACCATGTCTTACCAACATCATACCTTAGTATAATGGTCTTTCTATTGATCTCTCTGCTGCATGAGACCTTAAGGTCTGTGAGGACAGGCCTGGGTCCTATTTCCCTTTGTATCTCCAGCTTCCAACATAGTGCTTGACTATATTAGATGCAAGTATTTGTTGAATGAAAAAATGTCTCAGAGGCTACCTTGACTATTTCAGCATAACTTGTTCAATGCTACTGGTTTATCCAGGTCTAAAAGTCTGCTAATCGTATCAGCAAGGCATAATAGGATGGGAAAAGAATTAATATTATTGAATGCCTGTCAGTAACTAGGTAATGTATATGATACTTTACATCATGTCTTTTAATCAGAAAGCATAATTGCTTTCTCCCTTCCTGCTATCCCATGATAGGTCTATTACTATACTTCCAAGTCAGTAAAATAAGAATAATGAAATAAGAATATCAATGAAATAAGAATATCAATGAAATAAGAACAAAAGTCAGATGTGGTGGCACACACCTGTAATCCCAGAACTTTGGGAGGCTAAGGCAGGTGGATTGCTTGAGCTCAGGAGTTCAAGATCAGCCTGGACAAAGGTGAAAACCCATTTCTACAAAAATTAGCTGGGTATGGTGGCACACGACTGTGGTCCCAGATACTTGGGAGGCTGAGGTGGGAGGATTGCTTGAGCCTAGAAGGTTAAGGCTGCAGTGAGCTATGATTGTGCCACTGCACTCCAGCCTAGGTGACAGAGTGAGACCCTATCTCAAAATATATAATATATGCGTACGTTTAGTATCTAACAAGAAAAATGAAAGGCAGATAAAAAGTATACATATTCTATTCTTTAAAAGGCAATAATCATTTGAATCTTTTGAGTTCAAAATGCTGTGTTTTATAAATTTATAAATGTGTCTATAAATTTTTCTTTCTATTTCTTCTACTTCTTCTTAGCATTGAAGTGAGCAATTTTATTAAAATCTGCCATTTTGGTAGTAAAACATTTAAATTCAAAGTCACCTTAAGTGAGTGATGTGCTTGTTGCCAGCCACTTAATTAGCTGGGGGATGTGACACAGTTGTCTACATGCAGGACAATTTCAAGGTCACTGGTGGAAACCCTCTCACCTCCCCATGCTGCCAGCTTATTGTCCCATACATGGTAACATTCAGATTTGGGACTAGATGGCCAGGAGAAAAGCACTGAGTAGCCTCACTCCAGAAGGATTTTTTGTGCTTGGCTCCCTGACTTCTCCTTTCGTTCAGGGAGCATGCAGTGGTGAGAACACCTAAATCATGATCCTTGTCCTCCATCTATAACTAATTCGTATTGTTTTAGGTTAGTTTCTCAGAGCATAAGAATGAAGACTGTAGTATGGCCCGGCTCTTTCTTAAGAAAGCACTCTTGATGAAACAATCTACATAAGTAGACTGACCAGTTAAATATGGTTATTAATCATTCAGTTTTATCTGCGTAATGGTCTTATCAAAACTAATTATTGCCATATTAGGTAGATATTTAGAGAGCACCCTTTTATGGACCAAACTCTTTGCAGAATACAGATACTCAGGAAGAGGATCTCTTGTCTTGAAGGAGCTGAAAATTGAGTTGAGTTATCCCAGAATCGCTTTTTTCCTTTAGAGTTGGAATTTTGACAGATGGAGAAAATTATCTAATAAAGTGTTCAAAAACTTGGTTGGCCCGTGTGGGTTGAGGATTAATCCGTTAGAGCCACAGGCAGATTGAGCACACTATTCTTAGCTCAGAAGAAGCAAGTTATTCAGAGAAGGATGAGAGATGGCACATTCCCTCTAGTTCCTTTTTGCTGCTAGAGAGGTGAGCTTCCAGGGGCTCCTAGTTCAGGTTGCTTGTATTTTTTTCACCTACATTTGGTCTCCACAAGCCTTCCTTTCATCGTCAGATTTGTCCAAAATTTAACACCTGTGTGTGTCTAATCAAGGAAGGACATGATATCACATTATGAGTGTATTTAGGTGAGAAGTCATTGAGGAAAATAATGTTTGTCATTTGAAAGAAAGAAGAGTGTTTTATTTTTGAGTCACTTCAGGTCTTTGTCCTGAAGAACAGATTCACTCTTGTTTAAACTCTGTCTCAGTGAGAATGTTTGCGGGGATGGGAGGTAGCACTTCCCATTGCATCTAATCATCTAGAAAACAAGAGACTACACCTTAACAGTGCAAATCCTTTTGGAATTGATCTACCTGGTCTTCTGCTTTTTCCTTTCTCCACTCTGCTTTGTCCTGAATTCCCAGAAATGCCATCTTAAAACTCTTCTAAAACTGCTGGCTACTCTTTCCCCTGTTTTTTTCTACCAGTTTTTTTGTTTTTGTTTTTGTTTTTTTTTAAACCATCATATAAAGAGACAGCTTCCAAATGGTACTCTGTAATTGAGCAATAAACAACAAACTTTTGTCTGTATGTATCCATACTACCAGTCAAAATACTTAATAACAAAATATCAATAAAAAATGGCCAATGTGACATTTTTCATCTTGTGTCAAAATCAGAACCCTTTGTTTTACCATTTGCTTTTAAATCTGGGGGGTACATAAATTCCTGAGAAAATACTAAGCATATACATCAAAGAAATTCAGACAAATATATGTGAACAGAGCAGGTCACTGACACTAATCTTGGCCATAACCTAGAGTTATTCAGAAAAGATGTCCAGAGACAAATCTTGGAGGTTTTGAAGAATCAGAAAGATAAGAGGAAAATCTGGATACAGAGGTATCACAGAAGCCAAGGAAAGTGTTTTAAAAAGGAAGACGAGGTCAACAGTGTCAGGTGCAGCTAAAATATTAAGTATAAAGAGGACTGAAAAATATGTCTTGAATTTAGAGACTTGAAGGTTATTAGTGACCTTAACAAGCATTGTTTTTGGGGAGTTATGCAGCTAGAAGTCAAACTGGTAGGTTGAGGAAGGAGTGGAAGCTAAGGCAGTTGAGCTGTGGGTACGGACACTTCCTTCAGATTAGCTGTAAAGACAGTAGTAATAGAACAGTGGCTGTAGGAGGATAGGGGACTGAGGACTAGGAAATAATTTATTTTAGATGGGAGATATTTGAATAGGTTCAAAGCTTATTGGAAGGATTCAGCTGAAGACAGAAGTCCGGTAACAAGAGAGAAAATATAATAGAATAGATAATGTTAAGTTCCCAAGATCCACAATGACCCCCAAACGTAAGAATCATCTTAGAATAGACTTGGGATACGAAGTTCAACTGCAAAATACCCTATTTTTAGACAGCCTCCGAATTTAGGAAACCATGTCCAGCCCAGAGGAAAAAAGAAGAGGGCTGAGTTACTATTTTCTCCATGTTTGATTCTAAGGAATGTAGCATTATTTGGATATTACATAAAACCTTGGAAAATAAGGGAAGGGGCAGGCCGTGAAGATATGTGCAATTAAAATTAGAAACTAGACATGGCCAGTAAATTGATTACAAGTTAATCTAGCTTTGCCATAACCTGAGAGAGGTGATGTAGTCAGGAAGTTAGGTTTTATCTCAGGTTGGCTTTCTAAATATTGAAAGCTGTCACCAAAGAAACTAGCATAGAACCAGTACGTTACCTGGGGGAGAGCACCTAGAGCCACAGATGTTGGTGTGCCTGAGAAAGTCCAGAATTTTAAAAATAAAATTAGAATAGCTGTGACCGGCAGTACCCTCCAGACTCCTCAATTGCACACAGCTCCCTTTGTGTCCATTTTGAGGACTCAGCACCAAGACTTCTAAGACATGAAGCACTGGGCAATGCTTTGGGGACATGACAATGCTAATTATGCTAAATACTCATGATATGTTGTCTAATATTGATATTGATAACCTAAGCAAAGACTTACTTTAGCTAAGCTGACCTTGCTGAATTGCCTGTGTTAGCTGCCAACAATGTCAACAGAGAGGAGAGTAATGGTCAAACTGGAGGCAGATAGTGTTATGATTTATGAGGGGCCATGAAGGCAGTGTTTTTGTCCATGGGAGCTGTGATTAGATGCTGTGGGTAGCTGAATACAGTTGAGATTTTTCAAAAATTGGCAGGCATGTTACTTTGGAAGTTCTCCAGTGACACATCAGAGATTTAATTATTACAGTTTTGTATTCTTGCTTTCTGTGACATCTCTCCCCTTTGTGCTTAATCAATGTTTGTTTCCCAGTATGTGTTTGTCACTATTATTAATTTTGGAAGATACAAGGAAATCCCCAAATCAGTAAATGCCCTCTAGGAGTGATTCTCTAGTCTTGTAGTTGGACACAAACCCACAACATAACCTCCTTTGTAGGCTCATGCAAGAGGAAAGGAATTCAGCATAGTGATGGAGTAGGCCCAGTTCCAAGGATGCCACTGGGTATCCTGTACATCCAGAGAGGAACAGGGCAACTTCCTGACTCTTTTACGTCACTTTCTGAAAGGAAAGGGAACGTTTCAAAGTAGGACCATGCACAGATACCTGACCACCTATCCCTTTTTAAAGTCCCACCTGTCAAGTCTCTACACCAGTTGTATTGCATTACCTGGGTAAAGGAGTCAAGTGGGAAGGGGTGGAGGGTAGTCCCAAGCTAATGAGACCAGCATTCCCCTGGGTTATTTTATAGTTTATCTTATTAATCCTAGAAGCTTGACTATGAGGCCTGTGTTAGGAGGTTTCTCCTTGGGGAAAGATAATCTTACCAACATCTTTGGGCTGTTTTCCTAATTCTTAACACTACTCCTGTATATTTCAAACTGGGAGCTATGAAATAGACAGGTTTGCCTCTCGAGACTTTCTATGAAAGCTTTTTTGATGTTACTCCTGGGAGCTTCTCAGTGGGCCAGGAAAGAGGCCCCAAAGCCACACTGTATACTAGGCTAAGTCACCACATGACGTATGTAAGATTCACAGAGGATCCTCTTGTTCACCTATGACGAGGCCAGACACAGGCCCTCCAAACTCCCTTTCTCTGTCTCATAAATGATTAGCTGAACGTTTACCCCCCTGTGATCAATCTGGACAAAATACTTACTAATTTGATTTGACCGCTGTAGTGAAGCTTGTCTCCTCCTCCACAGCCTGTAAACTTTGACTCATTCCTGAAGCTAAGCAAGTGTTGGAACTGGGAACAACCCCTCCTTAATGGCCCTTCCTGAGACTCTCCATTGGCTGCAAACAAATCTTTCTTGTTCAGCTGTCACATCATCCCACGTGTGCATCCCCCATGCCTAGCTCCTTCTAGCCATGTTTATTCCTCTTCATTAAAAGAGAAGCCCTTTCAGCCTGACCATCTGGATGTTTATAGATCTTATGGTCAGAGTCTTTTCCCTATTGCAAAAATGATCCTGTCCATTTGGCGTATTCTTTAAAAGTAAAGTCTGTCCTTACCTAAGTCTAGGTTTGTTTTTATTTGACACTACTCTCTATATTTTGGTATTTAATACTGTGTACATTGAACACGATCTTTTCTTGATGACCTAGCTTCATCTTTAAGACTATTATCACATTGTGCTGAAGAGGTAGTTGTCAGTGAGGCCAATTCTGGGTGGGATATTGGCTGACCTGGCACTAATGCTGGAGCCAACTTATTTCTGGGATAGAGCAGCTACTTTTGTTTTATGCATTTTGAGTTACATTAAACTCATTTGGATAGAGTATAATGGTGACCTTTCACTTGGCCAGAAGAAAAAAAACTACACTGTTTATTTTCTTATTTTTTTTTTTTTTTTTCACTGGGGTCTCACTCTGTCACCCAGGCTGGAGAGCAGTGGGTGCAACCTCGGCTCACTGCAGCCTCTGCTTCCTGGGCTCAAGCGATCCTCCCACCTCAGCCTCTTGAGTAGCTGGGACCAAAGGCACGTGCCACCATGCCCAGCTGATTTTTTGCATTTTTGATGGAGATGGAGTTTCACCATACTGACACTGTTTTAAAAATAATCCTAGAATTCGTAACTTTCTAGCGTGTGTATGTATAAATTACAATCTGTTATGTTTAGAAATTAACAAGAATCAAATAATGAAGCTAATTTTCCAAAACGTGATTGAGCTACAATGCAGGCGTCTGACCATCTTATTTTTAGCCCCCAAGGCATGCAAATGTTAGAAGAAAAAGAATCTTTAAAATTGCAATTGATAGTAAAATTGCTTAATTATATGTATAATATGTGGAAGAATATGTATATACAGCCATTTATCAAAAAAGAGGTCAGGAAAGTTGGGTGCAGTGTCACACACCTGTGGTCTTAGCTACTTGGGAGGCTGAGGTAGGAGAATTGCTTGAGCCCAGGAGTTTGAGTCCAGCCTGAGCAACATAGTGAGACACTGTCTCTTAAAAAAACATGGGGAGTAGGGTAAGGAAAGAACCAGGTAAGGATGGAAGAAAACCATCCAGCCATGAGGACTTACAGAGCAATATGATAGAGAAATTATTCTCATTTCTTAATATAAATAAGAAAAATGAGATTTGAAGATTTGCAATTTGCATAAATTTACCTGACTTGTAAGTGCCAGAACCAGAGTTAGAACTCTGTTATTCTATTTTCTGGTCTATGACTGTCATCAGGACACTGTGAAGCCTTTCCTTTAGTGAGTTCCAGGTAACACAGACCAGAAAACAGTCCTAATTGTATTCGTTGTTGTTCATGTCACTGTCAGACTCTACAACTTGTTGCTTCCATTACTGATTTCAATACCAGGGGCTGCTATCCACTCTTCTCTTCCTCCTTTTCTAGGAAGCCTTACTGTTCAAATGTGTAAAAACTCATTCTTGACTTCCAGCCAATCAGCCAGAGACATGACCTTCATGCAGACCATCATCTCTTTGAGGCTGTGTCTATTTCTGAGTGCTTGGAGGCTGCTGCTTTGCTGACGGGGTAGAGATAGAAAGAAAGGGACTGTTTCTCTGTTTCTCCCTGTTAGAAATGCTTGTTGCCCAGTGCCATAAAGAAATAGCACTTGAACATAAATTTAATTTCCTCAGCAAGGCCATTTTTTTTACTTTCTGCAGAAAGGGTACACTCACCAGCAGTTTTGCCATGAAAGTACACCAAACAAAAGAGGCAGGGTCATTTATAACCTGATGCGTCCACCCTACTGCTGTGTCCCGTTTCCATTGGCTGGAACGGGACCTCACATTCTGTATTTGTCCTGATTGGCTAGCAACTTAGAACTTTTTAAAAGAGGCAAAGGCAGAGGAGAACAAAGGAAGGAGGAAGTAACTTGTGGAATGCCGAGAAAGGTAAAAACACCTTCAAATAAGGAAGAGGAACAGGCTAAGACCTAATGCTTGCTTGGACCAGTGTAAGCATGCCAGGGCAAATATTTAGGCTAAATTGTGGGAGCTAAGAACATAAAGTACATTGATTTCTTTATTATGGCTAGCAGATATTTAAGAATGTTAGCACAGGTCTTTGAATAATTTTTGCTTCTAAGAGAAGTTACTATTTATTCCTAATTAGATGGGGAGGAAAGTCTTTGAAGAGGAACCCCTACTTTATTTTCTATACTCCCTCACCTTCCTAGGTCGTCTGAAGGTTTCCTGAGGTTCTGGAAAACGGAAAGTATCCTAAATACTTAAATAGTATTATATGCTACCAATTAATTGTCCACTCTATCATCTAAAGATCTCACGACAAACAGTATATGGAAGTATATGTTTCACCTTATTCTGTAGGTCCAAATTCTCTTTTGAGAATTATGTGGACTTCAGAGCTAGTTTGTTTCATGGAGGTAGCTAGTTTGTTTCATTGACATGCTGCATGCCTCACTTGGTAAGGCTCAGGCCTCGTCCAGAGCAGGGTATAGCCTTTGGTCTAGCCAACCTTGCTGGATGTTGTAAAGTATTTTAGCTATTGGATTATGCTTTCTATAAATGTAAAGATGTCACGGGACCTCAGGTGTATTCATGCAGGCTTTGCCATTTATCCTAGCTCCAATTAGTTACCGCAGGTACAGCAAAACAAATGTAAGGCACCGCACCAACACGAGGAATTATCAGTCTTGTTACTAAGAGGACAGAGGAATCCCTACCATGTAGGGTAAATTTCTTTCTAGGCCCTTTAAATGTGAAATGTAATAAGGCAATTTAAAGATCATTTCACTAACATGTAAAGGAAAATACAAACATGTGCACATCTAATTGCAGGTCTTACAATTTTGGTTCTAAGGAAAATAATTAACATAAGCTCAAAATGACACTTCCTGCCTGGGAACAGTTCTGGCGAAATAATGAACCTGTAGAAATAAAATTGAAGAGCTAATCAGCCTTGAACGGCGCTGAGGTGTGTGTTTCTCTCTCTCTGGTTGCTGTTCATCTCTTGCTTGTCTCTCTGCTTTCCCCTATGCCTTTGATGAGACACATAATTTTTATGTTGGGCGACAAGGTGACAGTTCTCTCTGATAATTACATAGATGAGAATATATTTGGTTTTGGAGGAAAAAAATTTACTTTACAAATGTATATATAGAAATAACTTTGACCTTTTGGTAAAGATAACCAAGTTCTTCCTCAGCAACAGAAAAACAGGCACATTCGGAGGTGTGTGTTTCATTTTATAGTGGTAGCTCCTCCTAATAAAAACCTTTGTAAGGAAAAGGACAAAGTTGTTGGTTCAGGGGGCTAGCGGTAGACCCCTTCTCCTAACAGCTCAAAGATAAGGTAAATCAAAGTGCCCCCCAAGAGTTAAATGAGAGAAAACCCACATGCAGTGGATAGCATTAGCCGTCTGTGGTGGGAAAGGAACAGATTGTCAATGAATGCATGGTTAAAGAGTTTGAGAACACCCAAAACTTTAATCAAGGTGATATGGGAGCAATCTCATGAAAGTAGAATGGGAGGATGGTTGCATTTAGCCATTACAACCTCATCAGTTGCATTCCCACAGGAAGACTGCCTGGATATTAAGATGATGTCATCACAGAGCTGGGATTCTCACAGTGTGGTAAGAAGACCTCTAGCATGAGAATCTCCTGTAAAAATGCACATCCTAGGGCTTTACTGCATAGACACCAAAAATATTTGGAGTGGGCTCAAAGAATCTGCATTTTGTTTATATTCAACTGAATTTTCTTTTTTATAGTTTTTTTCTAATTTAAAAAAAAGTAACACAATATGGGCTCATTGTAACCAGGAATGCAAATATGAGGAAAGGAAAAGTAAATCTTGGTTGATCCTTCTTTTTCTCTTACCCTGAGGTAGCAATACTAGTAGCAGTTGTTACTAGCAACAATACTGGTGAGCATGAGCATCCTTCCATGCCATTTTTCACACTTACAAACATATATACATTTTTAAGAGGTTTTATTTTTTGCTTCTCTTGTTTGTTTTTATATACTAGGTCATATTATAAAATTTGGAGATTTACTTTTCTCAAGTCATAATGCCAAACACTCCAGGTATTTTAAAAATGTATGTACATCTATATATGTATTCACACACATTTACACATATACATACAAACACCCACATACATATGTGTGTCAGGTTGCTTGAAAATGCAGCTTAAAACCCATTTAGGGCTAAATACTGGCACAGTAGTCCAGTATCATAAGGAAAAGTTGAAAAAAACTTTGAAGAATGACATTCTTTTAAATTCTATAGTTTTCTATGGAATGGATTATTAAGATATTCAAGCGTGTCCCATAGGTGAACATTCAGGTTGTTTTCTATTGTTGCTGCATGTGTTTTATTTCATTGCCATTACAAATGCCTTTATTTTGGGGATGATAGATGAGCAGAAATGGGATTTCCGAGTCAAAGGCTATGTTCATTTTAAATTCTATTAGTATTATAATATGACTTTCCTAAAAGCTTGAGGTAAATTACAGTTGATTATCATGATTCCACTTAGTTATGTCCTATAAAATCACCTTGAGCACTGAAGTAGCAGACACTGACTCACTGTGTTAATGTATTAATATGTTGTATCAATATATTAATATTGAATTAATATGTTGTATCAGTATATTAATATTGAATTAATATGCTGTATCAGTATATTAATATTAAATTAATATGTTGTATCAGTATATTAGTTATTAACTCTGGAGGAAATACAGGGTTAGGTTTCTGCAAGCTCCTTGTCACACATTTTTCAACCCATCAATACATAACCTTGTTTTACATGTGTTTCTGTTTAAATACATCTTATTTATTTATTTATTTATTTGAGATGGAGTCTCTCTCTGTCACCAGGCTGTAGTGCAGTGGCACGATCTTAGCTCACTGCAACCTCTACCTCCTGGATTCAAGTGATTCTCCTGTCTCAGCCTCCCAAGTAGCTGGGACTACAGGTGCACACCACCATGCCCAGCTAATTTTTGTATTTTTAGTAGAGATGGGGTTTCACGATGTTGTGCAGGATGATCTTGATCTCTTGACCTCATGATCCACCCACCTTGGCCTTCCAAAGTGCTGGGATTACAAGCGTGAGCCACTACTCCCAGTCAGCTTATTTATTACATATTATTGATAACCTAGCATTGAACTCATGGCCAGCAATATGTCCCATGCCTGAACAATGCTTATCTAACACATGGACTTTCTCTATCAGGCACTTTACAGACTAAAGTGCCTTTACTAAAGTCTGTAAAGTGCATTATGGAGAAAGTCCATGTGTTAGATAAGGATTCAGCCCTGTGCAGAAAATGTGGCATTAAATTGACCACCAAAAGGATACTAATTTACATTATGAGGGTGAAACAAGAAAGGAGAATGTCATCTTGTTCTGCCTGGACTGGGAACATGCATGCTGGGTGACCACACTGCACGTGACCATGAATGACCACAAATGATCTCCAAAGTGCCACAAGTATTGGCTTTGGGGTTACAAATACATTTGAGAGTGTAGGCAAATTTGTGAATACAGAATCCACAAATAATAAGGATTGACTGTATATTCCCACCAGCAAAGTGTTTGTCATGTTGATTATTCTTCGTCTTCACTGTTTCATTTTTTAAAATATTTGTGAAATTTTAGGGGAAAACTATTTCCTCGTTGCCAACTAACTAGTGAAGTTCAGCCTATTTTCTTAATTTATTACACATTTAAATGCAATCTTTGATAACTTACCTGTTATTATATTTTGCCCTTTTTCCAACCAAGTGACTTAATTTTTTTCTCATCAATTCTTAGAAACTGTATATTAGGGATATCAATACTTTGTTATATGTTATGTAAATACTTTTTTATTCTATTGCTTGTCTTATTTTTGTTTTGGGTATCTTTGCTATATGTTTTAATACTCAAATATATCAACCTTCCTCTTGTGATTTAAGGTCTCCTGTCTTATTGTATCTCCAAGACTACATAGAATTTCACATTTTTATTCCAATATTTTTATTGTTACATATTTTGCATTAAAATCTTGACTCCATCCAGAATGTTTTTGTTTCTAGTGTTAGGCAGGGGTCTATGTTCATTTTTTTTCTTCCAGACGAACATTCCTCAGTTGTTCCAAATAGGAAGAGAGGAAATCAACCTCTCCATGTTTGCAGATAGTACGATTCTCTGCCTGGAAAACCCCATTGTCTCTGCCCAAAAGCTCCCTGATCTGATACACAACTTCAGCAAAGTTTCAGGACACAAAATCAGTGAACAAAAATCAGTAGCATTCCTATATAACAACATTCAAGCTAAGAGCAAAATCAAGAATGCAATCCCATTCATAATCGCTACAAAAAGAATAAAATATCTAGGAATACAGCTAACCAAGGAGGTGAAAGACCTTTACAATGAGAATTACAGAACACTGCTAAAAGAAATCAGAGATGACAGCAAATTGAAAAACATTCCACATGAATTTTTTTTTTCCCATCTGAATTGTTCCTGGATCTACATTATCCATGCCTGGTTTCCAGGCCCTCTCAGAGATTCTGTAAACTACTTATATCCTTTATTGATCCTTTTCTACTTAGCCTGGATAAAGTAGATTATGATTTTGCAACTAAGAGTAGTAATTGGTGCTGGAAATATTTGTACCTAATGGACTGTCAAGTAAATGGGAACCTGGGGTTAGCTATTTAACATAGTTGAGTTTGAAGGCATGTGGAGCAAAACATTTCCGTAAATATTGGCTTTGGTTAATTGGAGTGAAGTGCCTACTGAAGGCAGCATTTTGGGAAACTCAAGTGGCTGCTTCCGTATAGTATTTTAAGAAACGTGGCTGTACTGGCTACATGGAATTGTGCTAAAAATCTTAAGGAAAGAAAAATAAAACAGGCTCAAGGTTTTAAATTATTGCCTCAATGTAGTCTCAGAAAACAAGAGAAGTTTTGACTGGCCTAAAAGAATATCGTCTTTTATAGCAACAAGGTTGATGAACTTGAACATCAAACATATGCTCTGATTCTGTGACTTATTGAATTACAGGCTGCATTGAAAGATTGGCTGTGTTTCTTAAGTGAAATTTAGGACATTGGGAAGAAAAGAATGGGACCCTGAGAATTAGAGTAGAGACATTTGGGAGGATTCAGATGACTCACACTCCCAACCTCCCTAAATCCTCCTTATCAGCAGCAGCAGCCCTTATCCTCTGAAGGACACAAACCTGTCTGAAGACCTTAGAAAGACCTTGCCTAGCTTCTAAGAGGATGCCAGTTCCTCATCACTCACTCCTATCTTATTACCTCTACTTATCTATTTGAAGTCAGATCCCAGTGTGTCCCAGAGATTTAATCATAAAGTCACACCTTGGGAGAAATATATTTCTTCTACTACTGCCACTGCTATTGCAATTTTTTACATACCAAAAAATCACAAGATTTTGCAATTTATGTCTACAAAATTTGCATAAAGTTATCCATTGCTCATCCTAATTTTCTTCCTAACTAAAAGGGACATCTGTTTTTGCAATGGCTCTAGTAGAATACTACATTTCCCAAGCTTCCTAATATCTAGGGGTGGCCGTGGGACCTAGTCAATGAGACATAAGTTTAATTGTACTGATTATTCCTAAAAAAAAGTTTTGGTATCCTAAGAACTGCTCTTCCTTCTTCTGCATTCTTCCTTACTGCGTGGGCTTGGTCACAATTTCTGGAACTATAGAGGTCATCTTGCACTCATCAGGGAAAGGCCAGAAGAATTGCTAGGACTTCCAATCTGACATTTTTAAACCCCTGAACAAGTGACGACAATCACTTTTACTTTTTTTTTCTGTAATTAATGGAAGGGAAACAAACCTAATTGATACATTCAGCCAAACACAATCATCAGCAGTGATGATGCAAAAATGTAGCAAAGACATAGAAAGCACCTATTTTCCCCTTGAAAAAGTGAAAATTCTTGAGTTTCACTGATTTTGCTAATTTAGATCCCATACCAACACTTTATTCAATTAGTTTGGCCAGAGAGTCGCTGTGTGCTAGTTGGCTTAGGCCAGTAGGGCCCTCCCTGGGAGCTGGGGTCAATCCCATTAACCCCACTTGTTTGCAGCTCCATGGGAAGAAGTGCTAAGAAGAAAAAAGGAGATGTTTGGATGTGAAATAGGTGAGTAACATGTCCACTTCATCCCTATTGTGAATATGTCATTAAAATTTACTACTCTTATTCCACTTTCATGGTCACTGAACAATCTGCTGGTTGGATTTGACTTCTCATGTAATTTATAAGAGGGATATGAACTAATCAACTAATACTAGCATTGTGATCTGATTGCTGGTTTAGTTAATACATTTACATAGACGATTTTATGAATCAGCATCTCTGTCTGAGCTTAGTTAATGTAAGTACTCCACCCCCACCTCCAAGAGATCTGCTCTGCCTGTGATGACAAGCCAGGTCTTGAGTCTGTAAGGATGTTCAGGGCCAGATCCCAGAACAGGGAATTCTCCAGGTAAATGGCATCCTGCCCACTCACTGCCTGGGGAACTGCCTTTGCTGTACTTTTTAGCTTCTCCTTGAACCCTTGAAACTGTTGTAGATGTCATGAGTGTTATTTTTCTTCATGTAAGATTTCAGCAGTAGCATGTGCCCTGTCTCCAGGAGTACCAAAGATACCATGCAGGGTGGGACAGAGCCAGTTCCCATCTTCCTGGAGTCAACATGATTCTAGAACCTTCACCACTATAGATTGTCATCACTTCGATTCCATTTAAGAGTGCTGTGGCAGATGTAACTAGAATGATACCAATTGCAGAAATGCAGGGTGAGCTTGCAAAACAAAAAGTCATTGATTCTGTAACCCATAGGCTACCAAGTGTCATGCAAAACATCTGGGGTATAGTTAACTTGCCAATATTTATTGAGTACAATAAGATGTACATCTGACTAATAGAGATGTTATTAGTAATACTCAATAGGATAAAGAGAGTTCTGGATGGGAAGATAGAAGCTACACTGCTAAGTGCTAATTTTCTTTACTATGGATGCCTCCATGAGCAAATCACTTCAATTGAACGGCCTTCAAGTTTTTCACCTCCAAAACTGAATACTGTACTCACAATAGTTAAATATTTCCTGAGCAGTTTTATTTATCTCATTAATTTACTTTAAAAGGCCTTTCTTCGTATCACAAACTCCAACTGGATTGTGGTTTCTGAGCAAATTATAACAAATTTTGTGTTTGTGGAATCCAAATTAATGAGATTTAACTGCATGCTAATTAAAACGCCTTAGAATTCTGCAAAGACTTTCCCTTCAAGAGTTCAAATTTGTTGATGAAATTTTCTCGTTAGACTTCACAATGAGTGTGGAAAACAAATGATCAGTCTGTAAGCCCTAAAAAAAGAAAAACTTTAAGATATTCTTCCCAGGTTTTAATAACACAACCTGGCAGCAATGGAACAACCTCACAAACCTGGCCTTAAGGTTATCTTGCAGGTTAACTCCCTCTCTTAAAGAGATTCTTGTAATGATTTAAAACCAAATGGCGACGTAGCATTGAGGTTCAATTAGCGGATTCCTTAGTTGGGTCTTGATCACATCTCTGATTGTCACCTCTAATAGGGCGTATTAAAATTTCCATTCATTATAGTCATTAGTCTCTGCCAGTGATAAGGTTGTGAACAAATCTGTTGGTGTTCAACTTCTAATTTGTGTGATAATTTGTTTATGCTTAGAACACTTACTGGTTGTGGATGGAGGGGGTGTGACCCATTTAGAAACTATTCATGTAGATAAATCTGGAAAGTTTGCCTGGAATGGCTAAGGCATGGTGATGCCACCTAGTCTAGTAATAGACAAGGGCCACTTAGAAGGTCAGATGAGTCTTATTCCAGAGTCAGGAAGAGAAGTGGTTTACCCAGAGATGCAATGGGGTTGCTTCAAATGATCCAGAAGGGGGTTTTTGCATGGAAAGAAAGGTTCCATTCGGTCATTGTTACTCTACAAATGGGGAGAAAAGCACCTGCATCAGAATCATCTGAGAAGCTTATTATAAAGGTAAGCTCTTGGGCTACACTCCAGACCTCTGGGGCTAGGGCCCTGGAATCTGTGTGGTTAGTAAGCACCCCAGATTACGCCTAGGCGTGCTGAAATTGAGAACCACTGCAGGAGACACCTGAGAGCAGAGACACAGAAACAAATTAGGTATAGCAAAGACATCAAAACATTTTGTAGTAAAGTATTGAGAAACCATTCAACTTGCATTTATCATTGGGATTTTTGCCGTCAACAGCTGAAATACAATATTTAAGAGGAAGAAAATTTCAAATTTGCAACAAGCCATAAGAAATGGGGCTTGGCAAAGTGTCTTACTCCTGTAATCCCAACACGTTGGGAGGCCAAGGTGGGCAGATTGCTTGAGCTCAGGAGTTCAAAACCAGCCTGGGCAACATGGTGAAACCCCATCTCTACAAAAAAGTGCAAAAATTAGCCAGGTGTGGTGGCATGCACCCAGTCTCAGCTACTCAAGAGGTTGAGGTGGGAGGATGGCTTGAGCCCTGGAGGGAGAGGTTCTCGTGGGCAAGATGGTGCTGTTGCACTCCAGCCTGGGTGACACAGCCAGACCCTATCTCAAAAAAAAGAAGAAGAAGAAAAAGAAATGGTTTGGGTGTGGGTTTTTTTTTTTATATACTTTAGAGGCTTTCAGGTTTTTTCTTGCTCTGTGTGGTCTTATTGAGTTATTTGTGTTTGAGTTTGGTACATAAAATAATTTTAGTACTTCTTATTATATATACAAGAATCATGGATATGCTCAACTTTATGTCTCCTATGCCTGAAAAGTTGTGCACCAATAACTCATAAGTTTTTTTAGGACACTGTACACTTTGTGAATCTGATGAAAGGCGTGGAACTTGATTCCCACAAATGTGTGTGCATCAGTATATAAAGCATTACATTTAATCTCTGGGGACTTAGAGATCAGTGCTCTCTCTGGACTCTACATCAAGAGCCTCTGACCTGAGCCTAAACCACCCAGCCTGCTGCTTCACAAAGTCAAGTAGCTCCACCTATGACTCAGCCATAGCAAGCAGGGAAAGGCCATGGTTTGTGTGGGAAAAATGGATGAAAGCAAAACTGAGGAATTCAGCAGTCCTCGAGGCCTCGACTCACACCTTTAAATCTGTTGGAATTGCCACAAAAATATTTGTTTTCCTACAAGAATATTAGAGATTTACCCATCTTGAGTGGCAAGCCTAGATGCCCCATTCACTCATCAAGGCCTGATGCCATATTTAGCAAAAGAGCCATAACTGAAGGTGCGTTTGATGAATTTAATAGGATTATGTCTTACTAATGACATTAGGCTCCTGGGTCGGGCTTAGCCTTTATATTTACGTTTTATCACTGCAAATGAAGATGATATTCTCTGGCATATGAGTTTTGCAACCTCAGGGTTAGTCTTGTGATATGTGAAGTGGCCCTTGGCTTGTTTTGGGCCCATTATAAATTAGATTTTTAAAAAAACATTCACTGTGTTTATTTTTTATTTTATTTTTGAGACAGGGCCTCATGCTGTCACCCAGGCAAGAGTGCAGTGATGCAATCACAGCCCTCTGCAGACTCAACTTCCCTGGGCTCAGGTGATCCTCCTACCTCAGCCTCCTGGGTAACTGGGGCTACAGGCATGCATCACCATGCCTGGCTAATTTTTTTGGTATTAATTTTGTAGAAATGGGTTTTCATCATGTTGCCCAGGCTGGTCTTGAACTCCTGGGCTCAAGTGATCTGCCTGCCTCAGACTCCTAAAGTGTCAGGATTACAGGCATGAGCCACCACGCCCAGCCAAAAACCATTCGCTTTAGGAAAAAGAAAAATCAAACTTCCTATAATACCACCACCAAAGATACCTAACGTTAATAATATAGCATGTATTCCTCTAGCAAAAATTCTATGCTTTTTGCAAAAATAGGGTCATACTATATTTAGTGTAATCAAATCTGGCTTCTTCACTTATATCTTAAATATCTATTTCAATAAGTTCCATCTATCATGTTCACTGGCTGCTAATATTCTCCAATATTTATGTATACTTTAAGGGTCAACTAATAGATGCTTCAGCTCATTCCATAAATGAGATTTTTCTAACATCTTTCTATGCTTATAGCCATTAACATTTGGGATTTTTGCTGCTGTTATGGTTAATTTTGGAGTCTCTGAAGAAACAGGTGCTTTGTAGCATCCAGTTTTCTTGCTTAAAAGGAAATTCCTCAGAGTTTAAGGGTGTTTAGATGTAATTTTCACTTTTCACTTTGTTCTGGAAAACTAAGAATAAATAAAAATCCAAATCTATAGCCCATGTCCACCCACTCCTTTGAAAGTAATCAACCTCAGTCTCTGAAATTTCAAAGGAAAAAACTGAAAATACCACTGAAATCATTTTTAATTAGACATTTAGCAGTTCCTAAAGCAAGTTATAATTTGGCCTTCAAAAGCAGTATTTTTAAAGAAGGGAGCATTTTAATTGGTATGTTCTGGCTTAGCATATTTTCTCAGACATTAAAATTTTAAAATCTAGATGTCATATCAAAGTATATGAGATGAAAAATATGATTTCTTCTATCTAACTAGCTAAACTGTGGCACATAACTGGACGTGTCTATATGGATGGATCTCTGGGAGAAAAGAAAAACTTTTCTATTAGCTATGGCTTGATATATCTGGGGGCCCAGAGCTGCCAATTTTATATCATGCATATGCTGTGTAGTATCTCCTACTCAAAGTGTGGTCCACGGACCAGTGGCATCAATATCAACTGGGAACTTGTCAGATAAATAGAACCATGAATCCCAGCCCACATATCCTGAATCGGAATCTTCATTTTAACAAGATCCCCGGGTGATTCTTATACACTTTATTGATTGATTGCTTGATTGATTGAGACAGAGTCATGCTGTGTAGCCCAGGCTGGAGTGCAGTGGCGCAATCTTGGCTCACTGCAACCTCCACCTCCTGGGTTCAAGCGATTCTCCTGCCTCAGCCTCCAGGCGCATTCCACCATGCCTGGCTAATTTTTTGTATTTTTAGTAGAGATGGCTTTTTGCCATGTTATCCAGGCTGGTCTTGAACTCCTGGTGTCAAGTAATCCGCCCACCTTGACCTCCCAAAGTGGAGGCATTACAGGCGTGAGCCACTGTACCCATGCATGCTGTTGAGGACACCAAACAAATCAAACCAACCAGATATATACACAACATTCATCTACTTCTCTCCACTAGATATACGACATTTCTTTCAAAGAACTTGATTCTTGCAGGTGTTTGTAAAGTGATTTAAAATATGAAGATGTTGTATGTGCATTAATATAGGAATGTGTGTGTTCAATCAAATGGACATAAAGAGTTACATATAGTGAAACTTCTCACTTTATTTTGATAATAGGAGATTTGGTGAGCACCTTCATTCCTTCTTTTCATTTTAATATTGCATACTGTGCAGTTTTTTAAAATTTGTTTTAGACACAAGATCTCACCGTGTTGCCCAGGCTGGACTTGAACTACTGGGCTCCAGCAATCCTCTCCCCTCAACCTCCTGAGTAGCTGGGACTCCAGGCAAGCACCACTGCATGGGGCTTGGAACATTTTCTTAATCTGGAGACATCTAAATTAAGACTACAATATTAAAATGATGAAAAAATTGAATAAAGATGTTCACCAAAACCCCTAGTGTTTTGGGCAATAATGATTTTAAGGCTTTGAGGCCCCTTCCCAATGCCAGTCATTCTACAAATTGTTCATAAGCACAAGCAAAATCGTAAGTTGTAATTTGGCCTTCAAATACAGTATTTTTAAAGAAGGGAGCATTTTAGTTGGTATGTTCTTGTTTAGCATATTTTATTAGATGTTAAAGTTTTAGAATCTAGATGTCATATTAAAGTATATGAGATAAAGAATATGACTTCTTCCGTTTAACTAGCTAAACTGTGGCATATAACTGGATGTGTCTGTATAGAGGGACCTCTGGGAGAAAAGAAAAACTTCTATTAGCTGTGGCTTGGTATGTTTGGGGGTCCCAGAGCAAGCCAGATACTTGACTGGGGAGGGGGGAAGAGCAATTTATGTGCCAGTAATTACAATTATAAACACATGAATGTCCTGGGATTGGAGAACCTGTTCTGTATGAGGGTACCAGGAGATCTTAACAGTGGAAGAACATTTAAACTGAATCTTGATGAATAAGTAGGATTCCCCAAGGGGAACCAGGAGGAACCAGCACCTCAGGTAACTGGAAGAATGAATATGAAAATACAAAAGTAGGCCAGGCACGGTGGCTGACACCTGTAATCCCAGCACTTTGGGAGGCCGAGGTGGGTAGATAACTTGAGGCCAGGAGTTCGAGATCTGCCTAGCCAACATGGTGAAACCCCGTATCCACTAAAAATACAAAAAAATTAGCCCTGCATTGTGGCGGGCGCCTGTAGTCCTAGCTACTTGGGAGGCTGAGGCAGGAGAATTCCTTGAACCCAGGAGGTGGAGGTTGCAGTGAGTCGAGATTGCACCACTGCACTCCAGCCTGAGCAACAGAGCGAGACTCTGTCTCAAAAAATAATAATAATAAAATAAAAATAAAAATACAGAAGTAGGTTACCATGTTAACAAATACGTTCATCATCTTGTTAGTAGGGACCCATTGGAGGGTTTTAATCAAGGAATGCCATTAGATTTGTATTTGAGAAAGATAATTCTGGTGGTTCAGTAGAAATAGAGCAAGGTGAGGTCAGAGGCAGGGAAATCAACTAGGAAGCCGCTGCAACCATCTGAGTGACAGAAGATGAACTTGAATCGAACATTGAATGTAGCAATAGTAGTGTGGGACTAAGTTCAGAGACATGCTGGAAGTGGAGCAGGCAGGTTAGGGACTGAGCAAAGAGGTAGCGTGGGGAGACTAGAAAGACAAGAAACACTTTGAAGATTCTAGTTCGGGGCTGGGCACGGTGGCTCACGCCTGTAATCCCAGCACTTTGGGAGGCCAAGGCAGCCAGATCACCTGAGGTCAGGAGTTCAAGACCAGCCTGGCCAGCTGACCAAGATGGTAAAACTCCGTCTCTACTAAAAATATAAAAATTTAGCCGGGCAAGGCGGCAGGTGCCTGTAATCCCAGCTACTCGGGAGGCTGAGGCAGAAGAATCGCTTGAACCTGGGAAGCGGAGGTTGCAGTGAGCTGAGATTGTGCCACTGCACTCTAGCCTGGGCAACAAGAGTGAAACTCCTTGTTTCTGTCTTCCCTTCCTTGTGAAATCATTGTAGATACATTTGGGAAAACAACACAAAGAGATTCCACTGTCCCCCAATAGTAACGTCTTGCAAATCTATAGTAAAATAAACCCTTCTAAAAATTGTATGATTTATGAGCAATTTTAAATTAAAATATCAGTATACTCTCATGCTGATTTCTAACTAGTCATTTCTCTGACCTCCCACCCCTCCCCTCACCCCTTGGCCCCTACCACCCTCCCACACACATACCTAATGGCTCTCCAGACCAGGTCCTGTCCCCATGCTCCCCTGATCAAGCAGATCTTGAACCTTGTGGGGAAAATCACGTCTCTGGTGGTCACTGGATGCCTGGTGTCCATCCTGACCCTCTAAAGCTAGGGCTTCCCATTGTGGGCTGGTACTCCCTACATGTACCCTCCATGTCCTCTTGTAGGGACCCCAGCTTCAGCAGTGCTCTTTACCATGTTGTTAAATATATGGCAGGTTGGGGTTTGATTCTGGCCACAGCTCTCCCCAGATAACTGACAGAGTCATTTAGGGCCTTTGTCCCACATTTCTGGGAAATTTGTTTCTATAATAGTTAGGACTTTGGTATGCTAGTGACAGATGCACAGATCAAATTAACTTAAGAAACATAAATGTACTGGCTTACTGAGTTGGGAAGTCCAGGGATAAAGCTCCCTTCGGAGATTCTGGGACTCAAACAATATGATCAAGATTCTCTCTCCCTTGCACTTTTGCTGATTTGTTGACCTCATGCTCTTCATGGTGTGGTTTATATGGCCATTGGCAGATCTGGAGATACATCCTTATATCTCAGAGTGACACATGAGGCATAAGACTCGCTTCTCCACCATCACTGCAAAACCCTACTGGAGAAGGGCTCTGTTTGGCCTCATTTACATCCTGTGCCAATCCTGTGGGCCAATCACTTGTGCAGGGCGATGTAGTGTATTTTGGATGAATCAACCAATGACTCAGCCTGAGCTCCTTATCATCTGATAGACTTGGAATTGGGGTATCAAATTGTCTGGCTTAGTAGAACCAGATGGAAAGGGAAGAAAGAGTTTTTCAAAGGAGGAGATATTGACGGGATGGGCTAGGCAGAACAGCTAATGTCCATTTTAGTTATTCCTGGATCTAGCGTCTTCTCCTGTGGTGAGGAGAGAGGAATGTCACATGGCACCTATGGTTGTCTCTTGGGAGTTATGGTCAGTGTTGACAGAAGAAGGCAAGGATGGCTGTAAGCACCAAGATGTTTATATGTATGAGGTTGGAATTTAGAGGTGTTCAGAACTAATAGCCTTAATTGTCTTTGTGAAATTGAAAACAAAAGCACTTGTGAAAAGACAGGAAGGCAGGGTGGGGAGCTTAAAAAGCTAGTTGAGGGTTTGAAGGATGAGAGAGAGATCACAAGGACAGTGTAGAGGACTGCTAAGAGATATTGAGGATCCAACTAAGATTGGAAACTGTAGCACTCAGGATTCTCCAGAGACACAGTAGGATGGATATATATGCGTACGTACACACACACAGAAATTTATTTCAAGGAATTGGCTTATGCAACTGTGGGGGTTGCACATCTGAAATCTCTAGGACAGGACTGCAGGCTGGAAACTCTCAGGCAGGAGCTGATGCTGCAGTCTCGAGGCAGGATTTCTTCTTCCTCGGGGAAACCTCAATTTTGCTTTTAAGGCCTTCCAGGTGAAGAGATGAGGCCCACCTGCATGATCAAGGGTTATCTCCTTTACTGACAGTCAGCTGATTGTAGCTGCTAACCACATCAATCAAATACTTCCACAGCAACACCTAAATTAGTGTTTGGTGGGATAACTGGGTACCGTAGCCTTGCCAAGTTAACACATACATTGGAGTGTCACAGAGGCCTAAACTCTGTGAGCCAGTCTGCATGACACTAGATGATCTATTTTTCCTCTTCAGTTCCACAGAGATAAATACCTAGCAAATAGAAGCCAAGAGAGTGGATTGTTAAACTGATTGATGATTGGAGGAATCTTCAGGCTGGGGTCACTGGAGTCTCAAGGGGAGATCTTGACGTTGCTGTCGAGAGAATGGTGGACAAAGTCCCTCAGGGTTGTGGCTGGACTGAGAAGTTAGTTCCCCAAGCGTAAAGTGACAAGAGCATCAACCCCACCAGTTAAAATGAATAATGCATGAATAATACTTATGTTGGGCACTGAACTAAGTATCACATTAATTTTAAATTATTATCATTGTTACGATTTCATTTAATTGTCAAGGAACTGACACTACATAAAGTCAGAGTGGATTTAGTGGGAGTAAGAGGGTGAGCTAAATGTGGTATATTGGAGTTTATTTATTTACTCAACCACCAGTTATTTAATAAGCATTGATTATGAGCCAGGAACTGTTTTAGGTGCTAGAGATACAGTGGCAAACAGAACAGACAAAGTCTCTGCCTTCATGGGGCTTAATTCTGTTGGTGGGAGGAGGTATCTGCTAATAAGCAGACAACTTCAGCAAGCAACACTAGCCCCAGGTCCAGTGGTAAGCGTGTTATGAAGAATAGTAAAGCCAAGTTAGGCAATAGAGAGTGATGGGGCCAGACAGGGCTGGGGTAGGATGCTAGACTTATAAGAGAAACCCTTTCGGATAAAGTGACATTTAAACAGGACCCCGAAGGCATGAAGGGAGAGCGTGGGCTATGAATATATAGGGAAGAGCGTGTTCGAGAGAAAGAACATGGTGTGTGCAAAGGTGCTCAGAGGCTGGAGGCTGCTTCTCCCTGTAAGTGAGGAGGAGAGGGGTGGGGGATGAACTGGGATAGGTTGCAACAAGGAGCCATGTTGGGTGTGGTGGGTCATTATAAGTTCTCTGGAGTTCATGCTGAGTGAGGTGGCAAGACAGTGGAGAGTTTTGAACACAGAAGTGACAAGGTTCTTCTCTAAGGGCCGTTTTGGAGGCCGTATGAGGCTGTATGAAGGGATACTGGGAGGACAAGGATAGAAGAAGGAGACCAGTGGGAAACTGTTACCGTAATCCAGGCAAGAAGAATTTGTGGTCTGAAAGCCATGCTAGGTATGAGCATGACCAGGACCATGCCACGGGTATGCATTGCTGAAGCAGCCTGCCAGCGAAGACCAAGATGGCCCAGGACCCTAGAGCAGCATGTCTGGAGGGGTCTGCTGTGTTGACATGGAACTTCTTCAAGATGGAGACAGGATGGGTGGGCATGGGGAGAAGAACTCTGACCCAGATTCTGAAGTCCTCCAGGAGAGGGAAGATGGTGGAGGAAAGCAGCAACGGGGTAGAAAGAGGAGCATTAGCTGCATGCAGGCAGGTGCTTGAGGCTCCTGCCTCTGGGTCTTTGCATGCACTTCTTTCTTTTCTGAAACATTCTCTTCCTAATATCCACGTAACTCAGTCTCTTCCTTCCCACCTCAGATCTTTATTTAAATAGATTGGAAGACTGCTGTCAGGACATAGTTTATGTAAGAATGAAGATAACTCTCTTGCCTCCATCCTTATGTCACCTGGCATGGGGTGGCATGAGCAGCCACTGCCTGGAAGGTCTACTTGGAAGTGGTGTCCTCAATGGAGAGGCGGATCTGGCTTGAGGCTGGGAGGTGAGGGGACTCTCCTGTGAAAGGGGTAGGAATGCTGGGGACCTTATTGACCATGGGCTAGGGGTTTCAGCAGGCACTGTGGGGAGTGTCTTTAGGGAAGTCAGGAAAGGAGGGTAGAATCAATGGGGATGAAGTAATGAGAGGACCAGAGGGAACAGGTGCTGGGATGGGAGCTGAGGATGCCAGAACATGGGATTGACTGCCCTGGGAGGGCCTGGCAAGCCTGAGGCTGGCGTGCATGCAGCCTGTACGCTTCCTGGGGCACCAAGCAGAGCATGGGTGGCCACAGGAGACGTAAGGGAGCGTTGTCTGAGGGGATGTGAGGAATGACCAGGTGCTACCCACCTACAGAGCTCTCAGGATGCTTAACTCCTGAAGAAGCTGTAGCCTGGAATGGCTTGTAGACCTGAATGTATACCAGGTGTAACTGGCAGAGAGGGAGCAGGCCCCAGAAGGTCCTTGTTCATCCTAGTCAGGTCCTTCATCCTGTCCCACTTCAGGGCCCAAAGTGCTCTGATTCTAATGCCAGCCTCTTTGGCCTTGCATTTGTAGAGAAGCGAGTTCCCTATCATTGGAGGTATCTAAGCAATGAAGTGGACAGCCACTTAGAAGGAGTGTGCAGGATGGAGGCTTGGGTATTTCTTGGGGGCTGGACTCGAAGACCTTTATTTTCCACTTGGCCTGGAGCGTCTGTGAGTCCTTGTCAAATACTGCCTGGCACTTACCTCCATCGGGACACAGTGCAGGCATGGCTCAAGTGGGTAAATTGTTTATGGAATGCAAACCTCGTGGGACTTATAGATGGCTTATCAATGTGGAAACTGTATTAAAAATAAGTTGAGATCAGCACCTTCCACAGCCTCTGCATATGAAATGTCACTTACATTTAAACCCACATCAAAGGTTCTGGGTTGATTCTTTGTATACTTGTTAGTAGTCCAATGCTTAGGACACCATTTTCAGGTAGCTGTTTTTTAGTGTGTGTTTGGCAGGGCTGGTTCTATACAAACGTTCACAGTGAGCAGAGGGACAGCATGATGTCTCCTGCCATGGTTTCACAATTAGCTAGAAGAGAGAGGGTTGCAGGCTCACTGGGCCAGACCGGACGCTAGAGGCTGTATTCAGTAGGTGGGGCAGTGGCATGGACCTCTCTGCCCATGATGTGGACATCCTGGCAGATGGGCTGTTTCGAGAGCAAGCCATGGCTTCAAGACCTTGGCTGTTTGTGGTGATGGGGTGAAGGACCGAATAGTTAGAGTTCGTACTGAGTGTCTGTGGTGCAGGGAGATTCTAATCACATCATTTGGGGGTAGCGGCTGTGCTTAGCACTGGTTAAGGGAACGAACGGGCATAGTTGTGCTATGCTTGTGAGTATGCTCACTTCCTGGAGATGGGGAGAGTCAAATTCTTAGAGTGTTGTGTGGCTTATATATTTTATTAAGCACCTGTGTTCTAAGTCCGATAAGCACTTTGCGTACACTGCCTTTAATTTTCCGAATCATTCCGTTTTGCTTGTTGAGGAAGGCAAGCAGTTAAGACAGGCTCATCTCTTGACATGACCCCACATAGTGACTGTACCTCAGAGGGGTAACCATTTTCTGAGAGCTGGGTCCCAACTGTGTTAGGGTCAAAATTCTGATTTGCATAACCAGAGGTGAATGAAGACCTGGGAAACTGACACATACTATCTTGACTCATAAGAGACTGATGTATAAAAACAGAAATGATGCCAGCTGCTTATTTTGTGAGAAGAAAAAAAAAACAATTCTGTGAACCAGATACATATGTTCTCTCATCAGTGCATTCAATATGAAGGCAAATTTATATGAGGACATAAATTAAGATCAGAAGGTTGCTTATCAGCATGAAACAGTGTAGGCTGAGTGAGGATAGGACACCTTACTGACAGGGTTACAGAGCTGTGATCGTCTTGGCTCCAGTGCCACCCTGCCTGCTGTAGGGCTGGATGGTAAGGTTACCTCACAGTGACAGGGACACCACCACCAGTCCCAGCCGCTCTCAGTCTCTGCTTGCAGTGCCTCTAACACTGATCATCATCAGCCCATTGGGCTGATTCATCCTTTCTTTAGACATTTTCCTCATGGACCCTCAGTAAGTTGTCATCTTCCTTTGAGAGCAAGTTTTCTCTTTGTGGTATCTTTGCATCTCACCACTTTATTTCGTTATTTTTGTTTTGTGGCTATAAGCTCTACAGAGAAGTTGTATTGTTCCATTTCCAAATTTGTGGGAAAGGGGAAGAAAAGAGGAGAGGCACCATATTGTCAGCCTGATTTCCCACCTCAGAGACGATATTCTTGTCCTCGTTTTACAATTGAGTCAACTAGATGGCATGGCTTTTTTTCCTAGCTCCCATTGCCATCTGACGTGGTATTTATTTAGTTGTTTGTTTATTGTCTATTTCTCCTGTTAGAATGTAAACTTGGGGACAGCAGGTCTTTGCCATATTCTTGGCATCTGGAACGGTAAGTGGCCTGAGGTAGGTGTGGGCAGGTAGGAGTATGCGTGGATTGAAGAAGGATGAGGCAGGCCCTCAATCCCAGTCTCTCCCACACCCCACCTTCAGTTTGGTGAGGTGACAGAAGGGAGGAAAATATGAGAAGATCTGAGCCAAAATGAAAATCAGACAAAAACTCAGGGCATGTTCTGGGGGTCCTTGTGTCCCTACATCGTCTTAAAGAACCAGCCTGGGACAGTGGGGACTGGAGCTGGTGACACACAAGGACCCAAGAATATGGAAGGCCTTTCTCTGGCATAATTGAAATAAACTTTAATGAACAATTTGTCCTGTTTTAAATATCTTTATAGATAATATCTGGAGCTGGACAAATCATGTATAATCTACTTCCTTTATCATTCTTATTTCAATTATATCCATCTACAATGTCTCAGCCAAAGGGAACACCATTTACCTGGTAGCAGCCACCTGAATTTTAGGCATTGATATCTAAGAGAAAATAAGTTGCTCAATGGTTGCTCCTTTGTAACGCCAAACCTAGGACTTGACTATATGGTTCTGATACAGTCCAACAATGTGCTAGTTGATAACAGCTTGTAGATGGATATATATGTATTCTGCATATTTTGTTTGGTGAATAACCCACAGCATTCTAACTCAGGTGTCCAGTACTGCTTATCAAATAAGGCTTTAACATAGAAATACATAAATTCTAGAAATTGTCTTGCATTTATTGTATTAGAAAGTGAAATTGGTTTCTTTAAATCTTTGTAAGGGCTATTAACATAATATCTTGTTCCAAATCAAATAGAGCTACTTACTACTAAAGACTTTTGTACTTTCTTCAATAATTAAAGCAAGCAAGATTTGTAGACAATGCAATTTTCATGATGCATTGAAAAATGTATTCTTACAGCAGCTGTGTTTATCACACACTTTCATTTTCTTAATATCTTAAAATTGCTTGGCAAAATGAAAGGGAAGGAGGGTGGTCAGGGATGTTTCCAACATTCTATTAGGATCATTTTCACACAAACAGAAAATCTGAAGTAATTGTTCAGTGGGTCCCCTGCACCCATCACGTACATTTTACAATTAATGTTTTCCTCTGTTTGCTTCATCACTGGCTATCCATGTATTCATCCCTCTCTTCATCTTATTTTTGGTGTATTTTAAATTAAATTGCAGAAATCAGTACACTTCACCACTAAACAGTTCAGCATGCTTATTATTAACTCGAGTTAAATATTTAATATATATTTCAGGTAAAATGTGCGCACAGCAACATAAGCACATTTTAAGCTTTCCATTCATTGAGTTTTGACAAATGCATACACCTGTGTAATGCCAATCCCAAGCCAAGGTACAGACATTCTTTTTTTTTCTCCAATTTAAAACTTTAATTAAAAAGTAAACTTTAATGTCGAAAATGCAAACTTGGGGAAGGCAGAAAGATCACACACAAGGCTGTCACTTCACACTTGGAAGGTTGCACAGCGGCCGGGCAGAGGCGCTCCTCACATCCCAGACGGTGGAGGGGCCGGGCAGAGGCCCTCATCACTTCCCACACGGTGAGGGGGCCGGGCAGAGGTGCTCCTCACTTCCCAGACAGGGCTGCGGCCAGAGAGAGGCACTCCTCACTTCCCAGATGGCAGGGGGCGCTGAGCAGAGGTGCTCCTAACTTCCCACACGCGGTGGCAGCTGCGCAGAGGCGCTTCTCACCTCCCAGATGGGCGGCGGCCGGGCAAAGGTGCTCCTGCTTCCCAGACGGGGCGGCGGCATTCTTACCACCCAGAATGGTGATGCTAGTGCCTCTTTCCAGTCGATTTCCACCCTACGTGCACGCAGAGGGAACCCATGTTCTGATTTTTTTCTCAGCATGGATTACTTTAGTCTTTCCTAGAACTGTATACAGTTCTAGAATCATATAGTATGTACTATTTGGGATAAGTACATGCAATACATACTACTTTGCATGAGACTTTTTCACGCAGCACATTTTTGAAATTCATCTATTTTTGTTTGCATATGTCAGTAATCTGTACCCATTTTAGTGCTGAATCATATTCCATTGTGTGAATATGCCACAATTTTTAAATCTATTTACTTATCGATGGTCACCTGCGCTGTTTCCAGTTTGCAGCTATTATGAAGAAAATTGCTGTGCATGTTCTTATGCAAGTCTTTTTGTAGGCATAAGCTTTCTGATTACTTTTGAAACTCCTGGAATATGTAGTCTTAGCACAGAGTCTACACACAGTAGGTACTCAATGAATGTATATATTGCCCTGGCACAAAACCCACATGACATGTTGGGTTTTACAGTACACCAGACGTTTTCTTCCTCATCTGTTCTCAGATGAGCTTCGTAACTACCTGCTGAAGAGGCAGAGGCAATCCACACAATGGAAGCTGAGACATTACATAATCGCTAATTGTTGGAGCTAAACTAGAACCCTGGTTTCCTAACTCCTAGTCCTGTACTCTCTGACTGCTTGCTATTGAGACGGGAGAGTTCCCTTGACCCCTTTGCAGGACTTGTGAAAGGGGTGTGGCCCACTTATTTGACTGCCACCATGCTCAAACCCCCTGCCTGAGAGGGAGCATGCAGGTGAGCAGGTACAGGAGCTGGGGGAATGTGGCAAGAATGAACCCCGTACTGGTACTGGTCAACGGCAGCATCCAGGGTTGTCTGCGACCTCTGGAGCCCTCGAGGGCATGTGTTACAACGCTCATAGCAGTTACTATCTGCAGATAGCTAAGTGTTAACCAGCTCAGTGGCAAGTCAGGGTGACAGGCCTTTACACCCTGCCCTCTGGGTACCTGGCTTCCTGTCTGGTGTCCAGGAAGAATCAGGTCACATAGGCTTGAAGGATGGTTCAAAATATGGAGATTTTATTAAGCAGTGGGAGTGGCTCTCAGTGGAAAGGGAGCTGGAAAGGGGATGGTGCGGGAAGAAGGTGCTCTATCTCTGAAGCTTGGCCGTCTCTGAGGAGGCTCTTCTCCAAAGTTGTTCTCTTTGAAGTTAAGCCGCATCTGTTTATAGTTTCGGACACTCAGTTGCTTCTCCTTTTCACGTTCAGCTGCTTGTCTCTCTGCCAGCTAAGGTCTGAGGTTTATGTGGGCACAGGAGAGGGGGAGCGGGTAGGCCAAAAAGGTAACATTTGGGTGGGAAAACAGGGATAACTCTTCTCATTTAGGGCTGTGGTTTCCAGGCTTGAGGGTGGGGCCTTTGCCAGGAAACTGCCCTCTTCTACCCAGTACTTCCCTGTCTCCTGTCTGTATCGCTATGTCAGTGCCAAACCGAAGGTATGTGTACTTTACATCCTCCCTTCCCCCCAAGCATTGCTCTGTGCCACAGTTACGGTCTTTGAGAGTTTTGGGTTTGTACTTTGGCTCTATTTAAGCTCCTGGTCATCAGAACTTATGTATATTTTCCCCTTTTATATCATCTTGTTTTCTCAGTGTGTATATATTGAGGTGAGGGGAGGGGCAGCAGGGAGGGCCTGTAGAGGGAGTTATTGAAAAGTGACCTAAGCCAATCTGGTACTTTTGATTGGCAATCAGAGAAGTCAGCCATGAGGTTCCTGAGTCTCTCTTTCTCTGCCACTCCCAGCTGCTCTGGGATCATGAAAACCAGCCTCCAACCTGATTCTGCAACACATGAAAACTTTTATTAACAAGGAGATTCATATACCATGCCTAAAACACTCATACAACCTGTTCTGTAAACTCAAGTTGTCCCCCATCCGTGGTTTAGGCAGCCCGGTTGTTACCAGTGGAAGGTGTCCGAGTTACTGGCAGCAATTCCATATGGATCTGCAGCAACTTCAATTCTTGCCTCCTCAGAAGAAAGAATTCAATGGAGGGGCATAAAGCAGAAAAAGAGACTGAAGTTAAGTTTCAGAGCAGGAGTGAAAGTTTATTTAAAAAGGCTTTAGAACAGTAAAGAAAGGAAAATTCACTTGGAAGAGACCCAAGTGAGCACCTGAAGGTCAAGAGCCCCGTTTAACGGTGATGCTAGGACTTTCTAGGATTCCCATGATTCCTCCCTTAGGGTGAGCTGCCTGCATGCACAGTGCCCTCCTTACCTTTGGGAATTGTGCACACACAGTGTGTTTAGGAAGTTGTATGCATGCCCATCTGTGGCTTTCTTCCCTTTTCTGGTGGTGTGCCCCTGGAAGTCATACTTTGCCATTTTGTCTCTTAATGCACCTGCCCAGGAAGTTGCTTCTCCCTGGAGCCTGCGTTTGATTAACACTTTAATGTTAACAGATGTGCCTCATCAGGAGATTGTCTCTCCCTGGTGCCCTTGGACTGGCTGCTGAATTATCATTTTTAGAGAGGCAGTGTGATAATTGTCAGACCATCACCTGACATTCCTAGTGGGTGGGGGAGAAGAGCCTTCTCCTGCCCCGCTCATGCCTGTCTAACTACCTGTAACACAGTGAGCACCTCTCTTGACACCAGTAATCTGATAGCAGGATCAGGAAGCTGCTTCTTGAGGACAGAGTCTTTCCGGAAGCAGTAGGACAGTGGTGTGAAGGAAGTTCTGGGCCTCAGCCCTCCTCTGAAAGTGTTTGCTAGGCTGGCTAAGCCCAGCACCCTTTTCATGGAAATTTTGAGGTTTCTAGCCATCCCTCAAATCTCTCATAGCCTTCATTTGACCATTGAAAATAATTTCTAATATCCCTTTATGCTAATTAATGAACTATCTGTTGCAGATTCAGATGGGAGAGTTAGAAGCTTTTATGAGGCCACCTCTGGGAATATAAACACCATTTGGGATCTTTCAAATGCTCACTAACACCACTGTCTTGGTACTTCCTGCTTAGGGTGCTTCATATATTAACTAGTAACTGTTGAGGGTGTCCTAACATGAATCTACACACACACACACGCTTAAAGCTCACTATGGATGGCGGAGTGTTTCAACATAAAACCCAGGTCACATTGGGGAGGTACTAGAGTCCATGTGTCCTTCCCCTAACCCCCACCCTCTAACGGTGGCATTTCCACCAGACTCTTGAGTTTTCAGTTTGAGGGAATCCTTTGAATAAATATGATTTTCTGCCTCCACACTTAATGTGGTTAGAGCTGCAGCCTTGATCCTAATCTGTCTGATCTCCCATCCTCATTGATAGTAAACCAGTGAGTAGGCAAGTCAACTGTGAGTTAATCGGGGTGGGGGGGATTTTTAAATGCAAGTCTGATGTTTAAATGTAGCTCTGATTATGCCTCTTGGCTATCAGAAGTGAGTTTCATTTGGATGGAGAGCCATTTTACTGAGGGCACACAGCACAGAAGCTGAGCTGCAGTGTAAAGCTTTCAAGTGACTCTTGGAGCTATTAAAGTGCCACTCATTTGGTAACTGTTGCTGTTAATTAAGTTTGTAGCCCCATTATTAATTCTTGGCTCTACTATTATTAATTATGCTTCTATAAATTTATAGTAGGCAGTACCTCAGGGAATTTTTCAAGTTGTATATTAAAATTAGAGATAAATAAACACTTAAGCTTCCTTCTCAATATAAGAAGAGTTTGGGGTTTTTATTTCCGGTACTAGGTAAATTTGAAAGGTATGTGATGGTCATTTTCTCTCCTTACTGAAACATTTTCTACATGGTTTGCAGCAGAAATTTCTGTAACATATTTAACAATGCGGTTTAGTATTTAAATATTTAACCCATTCACTGATAACTTGTAGCTAATTCCTACAATTAAACTTACGCCTTTGGCCAGGCGCGGTGGCTCACCCCTGTAATCCCATCACTTTGGGAGGCCGAGGCAGGTGGATCACGAGGTCAGGAGATTGAGACCATCTTGGCCAACATGGTGAAACCGTGTCTCTACCAAAGATTCAAAAATTAGCTGGGCATGGTGGCATGCACCTGTAATCCCAGATACTCGGGAGACTGAGGCAGGAGAATTGCTTGAACCAGGGAGTCAGAGGCTGCAGTGAGCTGAGATCATGCCACTGCATTCCAGCCTGGTGACAGAGCGAGACTCTGTCTCAAAAAAAAAAAAAAAACAAAACTTATGCCTTTTATGAGAGCAAGCAGACAGAGAAGGAAAAGAAAAAAAGCCTGGCATTTTGTGTATAAAAAATCAGAGCTCAAGTAATGTTGGTCAAATATAGATGCAAACAAGTCCATGTGCATATTAACAACCCCTTTCACCATGTGCTTTATTTCTGAAAATACTTTAAATCCTTTTCTGTCTTCTGATCCAGCTCTCCAGACAATAGTTAATAAATGGGTTCATAGGTAATTATGATGCATTTTGGTTCTTTTACCTACAGCAAATTCCTTTTTTTCTCTCTCTCTTATTCTAAGAAGGAACAAAAATTGCCCATAATTCTCCAGGTTATAGAAAACGTCTATTGGCATTTTGATGTAGTTCCTTTCAGATGCTTTTCCAAGCATATATCAAATAATTTAGATCACACAATGTTATGGTTTGATTTTACCCCTTAACATTTGATGTAGCAATTCTTTATTATTGGACATTTAAGTTGTTTATAATTTTTGTCCTTGCAAATAATAGATATATGATATGTTGGATAGCTCTTTAAATAAATATTTGAGAGTACCTCTAATTATCTATTTTAATGCCTAGAAATATAAATTTTTTGCCTAAAGGCATGAACATTGTTCAAGTTCTTGATACATACTGAAAAATTGCTTTCCAGGAAATGACGCCAATTTCCAGTCCACTAGAAACATTCCACGGTGTCTGTCTTACTGCGGCCATGCCATTTAATATAGCTAATACAATTATAATAATATTAACTTGCTAACTTTATAATTTTTGAATTCGGAAACTTGAATGAGATATGCTGGAACATCAAATAGTGACCTATTTTATCTCAACGCTTCATTTTGCTTTTTGGAGCCAAAAGAGTTCTTTCTCTCTCAAATTGGATTCAGTAGTTGAGGGGCTACACATTAACTGACAGTAGCCATATTAACAAGAGAAAAGACAATATTTATTTACCCATGCATGGGAGAGCTGCTCAGTAATGAGTAACCCACCGACTAGCCAGAGATAAGGGTTTATATACCAACTTAACAAAGGTGAAGGGGGCAATTAGGGATTCAGGGGGAAGGCATGAAGGTGCTCTTGGGCTTTTCAGTGATAATGGGAATAGGAAATATGTCTTCATGGCAGCTGAATTAGGAGGAAACTGCCTTTGAGGGGAGTTAATGGCAGCTGTATTTTTGGGAGGCTCTGCTATAGTCAGATAAGGGAAGTTCAGATAAGACTTCTTTCTGCATCTCCTGCAGCTCAAATGTTTTCACCTTAAAATAACCTTTATAAAGACTCTGAGGGTCCAAGTGCATCCCCATACTTTCTATTTATTTTAACATCACAAATAAATGTGCTCAATAATAGATAAATTTTTCATCATGAAATGTATTGAATATTAGTAATAATGGTGTTTTCTGCCGTTTTTGACAGGTAAATTACCAGTAAGGGATGACACAGGAGGAGAAAAGGAGAAAATGAAGAACTGTCATAAGGATAATTTTTATTACAGATATGAATATATTTGTTTGGAACTAACAACTATTTTTAGAAGACAAATTAGGCAGAAGTGGTCACTACTGTATGGACAAGGGTGAATAGTAGTTGTGATTTTCAAAAATTTTTTAAACATATCTCTTGATACAGTATTTTTCCAACTTCATTTCTTTTCTTTTTTTTTTTTTTTTTTTTTTTTTTTGAGATGGAGTCTCGCTCTGTCATCCAGGCTGGAGTGCAGTGGTGCAATCTCGGCTCACTGTAACCTCTGCCTCCTGGGTTCAAGCAGTTCTCCTGCCTCAGCTTCCTAAGTAGCTGGGATTACAGGCGCGCGCCACCACACCTGGCTTTTTGTGTGTGTGTTTTTAATAGAGTCAGGGTTTCACCACGTGGGTCAGGCTGGTCTCAAACTTCTGACCTGACGATCCACCCGCCTCGGCCTCCCAAAGTGCTGGGATTATAGGCGTGAGCCACTGCACCCGGCCTTCCAACTTCATTTCTTTCAAGTCACAGTCATGGAACATGTTTACAACTTCTGAGTTACACTATTTTGGATAAATAGTCATAAATATCAGAAATTGAAAATTAGATTAATTCCTCCTTATTTTGATATTCACCTAGGAAATAGTTTTTCTACAGATATTATTCTGGCAAATCTCAGTTTCTTGAATCTCAGTTCCTTGAATCTTGACTTTTGTCGCCACCCTTGATTTGAACATCCCTTGGCAGCTTTGTGGATAATACAGTGTGAGAGACATAATTGAAAAGCATGACAAGTGAGAAAATGGGTTACATACCTCAAAACAAAGGCTCATTATACATGACAATGCAATTCATTTGGGTCTCTCCATTGCATATTTGCTACAGGTATTGATTGCCTTCCAACTCTTCCCACAGCCTTTTGCTAGTCTTAAAGGCATAAATCACTTGGTGAAAGGATATTTCTATTTCAGCCAGATAAACTCTTTCCTTTTTGTTTAGATTTAATATGAAGGCAAAATGCACTGCTCTCAGTGAACAGCCTTGTTTCCTTTCGTTTAATGGGGAAGGGAACACTGAAACATTTCCTACATTCTCTAGGAAAAGCACCTTTTTTTTTTTTCTTGTCTTTATAACCCTGTATCTGTTGTCACTGATTCAGCTATTCAGTCTGGGACAAAGCGACTTTTAAGTTCTAGAGCTATGAGGAAGCTATAAAGGGAATACAGTTCACTCTGTAGAGAAATAACAGCCTGGGAGATCATGGACCAGAAATGTTACTCTCCAAAGGTTTGCTAGAGCTTTACTTTGAATTCTATTCATCAATATTTTTGTTGGCCTGGATCAGTGACTCTAATTATGTATAGAAGATAGAAACAGCAGTTATATTTAGCAAGCTGGAAAAGTCCCTGCAGTCTACCCTCAGAACAGCTAAACATACGGAGTCAACCTGAGATTCTGAATGCTCTGTTCACTCCCTGAGAGATAATGATGACTGAAGAGTGATAGCGCAGGGAACAGAGTAAAGCTAGAATGGGAGGCAAGGAAAGTTATCAGTCAGACCTCTAGGAGAAGTCCCAGCCCCTGCCCCATGCTTTTGTTTTTTATTTGTCTAACTTTTTTTTTTTTTTTTTGGAGATTTTCCATTTCAGGCTTTTGTTGCTTTTCTCAAATGTCAACCCTACCTACCTCTCTCTGAACGAACAGCCCACACTTTCTACTTCATCAAGAAAATTGCTACCACAGGGATGATATCATAGCCCATTACTGTATGATGCTATCTATACCTTAGCCTGGGCTTCCACCATTTCTTTGTCTCCCAAGGAGAAGGGACGTGACTGCACCGGATCTTAGTGTCATCTTTTCTGCCTCCCATTGGGGACTGTGAAGTTATTCCAAGGACAGTTGTTCCCCCTACCATAGCTGCTAGCTCCTTCCCTCGTGCCAGGAGCCACTTAGTCACAGGGTAACTGAAGAGAAAAAAGAACGAGACCTATTGCTGAGCCTAGAGCAAGCTCCCCCATACCTGCACCCCACATGTGTACCAAAAGCTTGCTTTCTCTCCCATTCCCAGGTCTTTGATGGGGACGAAGCTAAGACCATGTATGCCATTGGCCCCAGGCAATAAGAGGTGCATTGTCTGCAAAAGTCTTAAAACAATATTAAAATCAACTAAAAATTGGTCTTTTTTTTTTTTTGAGACAAGAGTCTCACTCTATTGCCTAGGCTGGAGTGCAATGGCACGATCTCAGCTCACAGCAGCCTGCACCTCCTGGGTTCGAGTGATTCTCCTGCCTCAGCCTTCTGAGTAGCTGGGATTACAGGCACCCACCACCACACCCCACTAATTTTTGTATTTTTACTAGAGATAGGGTATCACCATGTTGGCCAGGCTAGTCTTGTTTTTATTATCACCATGTTCCAGCAATTCTAAACGATATCAGCGTTGGGGAGGAAAAACATCTCTTCTTTCTACCTGTCTTAAGTTCATTGGCTGGGGCCCCTATAACAAAAGACAGAGTAACAAGAGAAAAGCACACACGTTTGTTGAATGCCAGTTTTATGTGGCATGGGAATCTTCACAGGGAAATGACTTTGCTGAGACCAGCTCAGTGGGGGAGACCCTAACCCAGCGGTACTAGAGGAATTAAAGATATACACACAGAAATATAGAGGTGTGAAGTGGGAAATCAGGGGTCTCACAGCCTTCAGAGCTGAGAGCCCCAAACAGAGATTTACCCATGTATTTATTTACAGCAATCCAGTCATTAGCATTATTTCTATAGATGTTAAATTAACTGAAAGTATCCCTTAAGGGAAAGGAAGGGATGGGCCAAATTAATTGCAGCAGGATCACGCCCTTAAGACACAGATTGCTCATGCTTTTGTTTGTGGCTTGAGAATGCCTTTAAGCAGTTTTCCTCCCTGGGCGGGCCAGGTGTTCCTTGCCCTCATTCCTGTAAACCCACAACCTTCCAGCTTGGGCGTTATCCTTCCAGCTTGGGCGTTATGGTCATTATGGACATGTTACATTGCTGCAGAGATTTTATTTATGGCCAGTTTTGGGGCCAGTTTATGGCCAGAGTTTGGGGGGGCTTGCTCCCAACAGACTTGAAGAAGCAGTTAAACTGGGAGTTTTTATGCTAGCTTGAGTGAAGAGTGGAGAGTCATGGAGAAATGTGTTAGGACAGAAAAAGTATGAGCCGAGGATAGTCAACTGGGAGAAACAACAAGGTCTGTATGTTCACATTCCTCTTGACATCCCTGTGTCTTTGGAGAGAAAGATGTTATTTTCCTCCAGGCATAGGGAGGGTACCTTTCACATGATCTGCCTCAGGGAAGGATCAGACAATCTTTGCTATACATGCTGTTTTCCAAATTCCTTCAACCTAAAATATTCAGTATTCCAAGTCACCATATTTTGGGGTAGTATGTCTTGAACCTTATCATCAGTGATGTAATATTCCTCCCCAGAAAATCCTTTTGTTGGTAAGTTACAAACAATTGCTATAACGATTGTTGACCCACTGGCTTCCTACAGGCAACCCAGCTATACTCAGCTGAGTGTCAATTCATAAGGGTTGGAATCATTTGAGTTTGCTGCCTGCACAGTTTGTGTCTCTAAGCCCTGTGATACTACCTAGTCCTACGTTTAAAAAGTAGGTTCAAAATAAACAATGGTAATACAACAATTCTAAGGGTAAAGTGACAGAGCTTGCCTTATTGCACTTTTGTGTGCAGATCTTTCTCTAACCTTGTAGCATTTATTCCTTTGGACGTGTTTCTTTTATGCTCTCCTTCTCCCTTAAAATAAATACTTAAATGTAATTAAAAATTATTAATCCATTACTTTGTTTCCTTTTTTGTACTGTGATAGTTTTCTAACTGACTTGAATGTACATACAAAATTTAATAAAAGACTATGTTTTATGTTTGCCATTATTTTTTGGCTTTTATTACTATTATTTTAAGAATATTATTGAAGGCTTGGCGCAGTGGCTCATGCCTGTAATCCCAGCACTTTGAGAGGCCGAGGTGGGCAGACCACCCGAGGTCAGGAGTTCAAGGTCGGCCTGGCCAACCTGGCAAAACCCCATCTCTACTAAAAATACAAAACTTAGCTGGGCATGGTGGCGTCTGTAGTCCCAGCTACTTGGGAGGCTGAGACAAGAGAATCGCTTGAACCTGAGAGGTGGAGCTTGCAGTGAGCTGAGATCATGCCACTGCACTCCAGCCTAGGTGACAGAGCAAGACTCCATCTCAAAAAAAAAAAAAAAAAATTATTGAAGACAATTTTGTTGTGTAGAGGAGGAGGGTCTTAAATGATCCTCTCTGGCTGTCAGATATGCTGGGGACTCCCTGTGTTCCTGCACACCTGCCCAGGCTCTCTCCTCTCCTTCCTCCCTCATTCCTGCACCTAGAATGTTTTCAAAAGTTATTCTAAAAGCCTAAAATAACTTCCGTGAAGACTTGCTGTGATAATTCCAGCTCTTTCTTTCTTCTCTGAATTCTTCTAACACATTGTAGTTTTCCATACAATGTAGCAAGTGATGGTATGCCAGCTTAGACTTTTTCTAATACTTTTTTTCCCAAGATAGAATGTAAGCTCCCTGAAAGTTGGGGTTAGCCTTATATTTCTTCTTTTGTGTCTCCCCAAAGACAACTTTTGGAAGTATCCCATTAAAATGTATACTCTGTAGAAACCAGCTCAAATCCTTCAAAAACAGCTCTTCTACTCCTGCAAACTTCATTATCCTCTCATAACTTTATGTGATCATTTAAAATCAGGTTTTTCTAAAACTTCGGTCTGAGTGACCAAATGCAATTGCTTATCTTCAAGGAAATAGTGCTTGCTTTAGGCATTCACTCCAGAGGCACACAAGGAGAGATAGGTGAAATCAACATGAGCAGTTAATTTCTGGTTTCACCCGTAAAATACTGATTTCTGTGGTTTGAATGTGTCCCTCGAAGTTCATGTGTTGAAAATGTAATTCCAATGCAATAGCATTGGGAGGTGGGATCTTCAAAGAGTAATTTGGTCAAGAGGGCTCTGTCCTCATAAATGGATTAATGCCATTATCTTGGGAGTGGGTTAGTTATCGAGAGAGTGGGTTGCTAATGAAAAGGATGAGTTTGTTCCATTTTCCTGTTGCTCTCTTGTGGACTGTCTTATTCTTCTGCCTTTCACTGTGGGATAACACAACATAAAGACCCTCACCAGATGCCAGCCCCTCAACCTTGGACTTCCCAGCCTCCAGAACTATAAGAAATAAATCTCTGTTCTTAATTATCCAGTCTGTGTTATTCTGTTATAGCAACACAAAACAGACTAAGACAGTGACTCTACAACCCTAAAGAGGTAGTCACTGAAGAACTATTAAGCATTCTCTCAGTTGTGTCAGTGAAAGCCATCTCTATTTGTGTTCCCTATCTTAAGCCAACAGTTCTCAAAATATGATCCAGGGACTCCCAGGAGTCCTAGAGACCTTTCCAGGGGTTCTGTAAGGTCAAATTATTTTTATAACATGACCCAGACATTATTTGCCTTTTTCTCTCTCCTAAGTGTGTCAAGGCATTTTCCAGATACTATATGACATGTACTATCATTATAGATTTAGCGTGGAAGCAGATATGAGAAGCCAGCTGTGGTCCATTAAGCCAGAGGGTAAAGAGATTTGCCAAGAATGTAAAAAGAATGTCTTCTCATGGAGTTTTTTGTTTGGGAAAATAGAGTAATAATTCATAAAAATTTCCTATTTATGTTAACATATGAGTTTATTGCTAATTTTAAATCAATTCATAAACACATATTTTTTAATTTTTCAGTTTTAATTTTGTATACAGCAAATAACACTCTATGTAACCCACATATACAAAAGGTCCTTGAGGCCCTCAATAAGAGTGTAAAGACCAAAAAGTTTGAGAACTTCTATCTTAGGCCAAAGCAGAGATTTTTAGAAACATATTCTTTTAATTCTTTCTTTGGTTACTTACCTCCAAATCAAAGCAATGTGCTGCAACTGAATCCAGTGGAAAAATTAATTAGCTCTATGTTAATTCTTTGGCTTTGCTGTGAAAAGCCTGATCTTTGGGCCATTGACATCTGTTAGAAATTTAAACTCTTGAGCCCTGACCCAGACCTACTGAATCAGATTCTGCATTTTAGTAAGATCACTAGGTAATTTTAACCTACAGGTTGAGAGTTATGAGCACTGCTCCACTTTGCCTTTGTGAATCTGGCTGGGATCTTTTTCCAACTTTATTGACCATGTTAATTAACTCCCTCTTTTTTGATTCTCTCCTAATAAGGCTTGCAGCTATAACTGCAGTTTATCCTGATAAAACTTATTTCTGTAGGGGGAAAAAAATAATCTTCTCCTTCACTCTTCAAGAATTTTTAGCTGGGACTCCCTGTAACAAAAGGTAGATTAACAAGGGAAAGCAAACAAAAGCTTAATAACATGTATACTTCCTGTACACATGGGAGATAATGCAGAAAAATGAGTAAACCTCTAGAGTAGATCTAAAAAAGTTGTCTTAGTCTTCAGGCTTAAATACCATCCTTTGCTAAGACAAAAGAAAGTTATAGGGAAAGGCCTGGTTAAGAAGAGGTGGCCAGGAAAAGCATCATAAACAAAACCAAGGTTTGTTATGCAGATTTAAGTAATGCCTTCTGCATTGATAAGAGTCTCTAGTGATTTAGACATTTTCCTCTTCCTGGTGCAGAGAGGGAGACATTCCTACCAATAGGGATGTCCTGTATAGATGTAAATTTATGTTACAAAAGGGTAACTTTTCAGTGCTTCTTCTGTATGTGCAGTTTCTCAAAATAACCAGTTCAAAATAATCCCATGCCAAAGAGGCCTATTTGGATGGGCATATTCTGGTTTCCTACAATCATATGTTGGGATGACATGTCCTGAATTCCATCACTTCCTAATGAAATCTGATAAAGGACTGACTTGTCTGACATTTATTTTCATCCTACAATGTGAATGCAATGAAGGATCAATTTGCAATTGTATTTTTTATGGCCTTTTGGATTTATGCACTAGAGAGGTGCTAAAGCTGATGTGTTGATTCAAGTGAGGAGTAAGAGGGGTGAGAAACTGTGAGAAAAAAAAGTACTATAAAGACACATGCACACGTATGTTTATTGCGGCATTATTCACAATAGCAAAGACTTGGAACCAACCCAAATGTCCAACAATGATAGACTGGATTAAGAAAATGTGGCACATATACACCATGGAATACTATACAGCCATAAAAAAGGATGAGTTCATGTCCTTTGTAGGGACATGGATGAAATTGGAAAACATCATTCTCAGTAAGCTGTCGCAAGAACAAAAAACCAAACACCGCATATTCTCACTCATAGGTGGGAATTGAACAGTGAGATCACATGGACACAGGAAGGGGAATATCACACTCCGGGGACTGTTGCGGGGTGGGGGGAGGGGGGAGGGATAGCACTGGGAGATATACCTAATGCTAGATGATGAGTTAGTGGGTGCAGTGCACCAGCATGACACATGTATACATATGTAACTAACCTGCACAATGTGCACATGTACCCTAAAACTTAAACTATAATAAAAAAAAAAAGTAACTGTGTTTTCTTCTGTTTAATGATTGTTGCACTCTCCTACAAATTCTCTTTAAGGAAATTTTCCTAGAAGCCTTCTTCCTTGAATTTGTAAGAAAGTGGCTTTTCAGTGGGTTGACCTCTTGGCTTTTACATGTAAATACACCGAAAAAAAAAAAAAACCCCAAGGGATGTAAAAACATTGAGAAGTTTCTCAAAAAAAGAAAAAAGAAGTCCATTTAGTCTGGTATAACTATGAAGTAAAATAAATCATAGTATCTGAGAAAGAAGGGGAAAATATTCAATTGTCAAAATTAGCCTGTCTCATTTATTTGGCCTTGGAGAATAATAGTCATTGATATAGACCAGTGGGTTTCAATCTTGAATAAACAGAGGATCACCTATAAACTCAAGAAAAAGCCCATGTCTGAGAGATTGAATTGGAATTTGGTAGGTACTTATCTTTAAAATTTTGACAAGGTGATTATGAAACACAATGAGAATTAAGAATGTATGGTATGGTCAAATACGTGAGCAGATGGAACACAAAGTCCCTAGTCTTTAAGTGTGTGGATTCAATCATTTATTCATTTTTCTTTATCCAGGGTTAGATCCTGTAGGGGCAAAGATAATTTCCCCCTCCCCCTCTGAAGGTTCAAGTCTGCTGAAATGAACTGATGAGAGAGATTAACAGGGCAAAGGCATACAAGTTTATTAATGTGCATAAGCATGGAAGCCATACAAAAAAATGAGGCTCACAGAAAGGCCAGATAGCTGAAGCTTAAAAAGCACTCTCTTTGTAGAGGAGCCAGAGATGGTGGATGCATGAAATTGAGGGTTAGTAGTAAATGCTTTTTAAGAGAGCTTAATGGACCCAAAGAGGAAACAATAGTTTATAAATGATTCTCTTTGGAAGTTGAATTTATGGGACGGTAAGGGGCAGAACTGCAAAGCAAACGAAGGTTGTCTTTTTATGCAGATAAAGTTTCTTGGGTAATTTCCTGAAGCGGTCCTCAGAAGGGTAGATGAAAAGTTTGTCTGGGTATGGTCAGAATTTTGCTTTCTTCTCTTCTCCAGTGGTTAATCTTTCTTGTTAATTTAATGAAATTCCTAGGGAGGGGGTTTAAGACTATTACAATTCTTTTAGAAAAAGTTTTCTTAATCAGATAGGGAAATTCCAGAGAGAGGTCCTCCCTGCACTTAGAAGCAAGGAAAACAGAAAGTTAGCAAGTCCTTGGTTCAGAGGCACTTTCTGAGGTATTCCAATTTCTTTCAATTCAAAAGTGGTCAGCATGCCAAAGCACTTTACTTTGGAATATCATTTTTCTGAGCCACAACAGGCCTGTCCAGAGATTTGAATTAAGCAAATTAACACAGGAACAGAACAACAGATGCCACATCTTCTTATGAGTGAGAGCTAAATGTTGAAAATATGTGGACATAAAGATGGGAACAATCGACACCAGGGACTACTAGAGGGGAGGATGGAAAGGGGAGCAAGTGTTGAAAAACTACCCATTGGGTACTATGCTCACTACCTGGGCAATAGGATTGTTCATTCCCCCAAACCTTAGCTTCACACAATATACCCATGTAACAGATCTGCACATGAACCCCTTGAACCTAAAATAAAAGTTGAAAAGAAAAGAAAAATGAATAAATCCTGTTTAACACAAGAATTTTATGGCCTTATACATTTTCTAATGACTATTAGCCAAGTGGGAAACTTGTTGAAGGTGTAGAGAACTAAGTTCAATTCCTCATTTATTCCCTAGATGAGCTATGCCATTGGAGTGAAGACTCTGAACTAAATTAAAAAGAATGTGTTAGACTAGTTTTTGTACCATAGATAAGATGGATGCACTTGTGCTTTTTAGGTACAGGAATTCAGACCTGTGGAAGATCCCTGGAGGGTTAAGGAATGCAAATCTGCATTATCTGTAAGCCAAACATGTAATATGATTCACTCATGCGTATGCCCGCCATTCTTTGTCAAATGTATGTGTGGGCTTTATTGACAGAAAAGGTTTTCAAAAAATCATTTAGAAGCACCACTGAACAATGATTCTTTTTATCAGTTAGTTTAGAAATTATTAATGACCATCAACTATGTATCAATTACATGTACCCTGGGATACAGTAGTGAATCTGACAGCCCTAAATCAGGGAGACATACAGATTAACAGATGATTACCATCTAGTGAATTTAGTGCTGATCCCATTATATCTATCTGCAGTATAAATTTAGGTGTCTGTAATCCTAGAAATACTGCTTTAAAGCCAGCATGTCTGCTCCCATCTCCCTGTTAGCCTGTACAAATCTGCTCAAGTGTTAATTAGTAATCCCAGGAGAGAAGTGCTGTCATTCACAATTTTCTCAAAATTACCTCTAGAAATAGTAAACAGTGGCTCGTAACTGATGAATGTGATGGTTTTAGCCAAAACATATTCTCAATCTATGTCTACTCAAAGTAGGGCAATAGTCATGATGGGGGGAGGGGTGATAGTAAAAATGCATTAACATGAAAATGTTGAAAACAATGATGCAGTCCAATTATCTCTTTATAGAGGAGGACTCTATAAAATGTTAAGAGAGATACAATGACATGTTCTAGATTCATGGTCTATTAACTCTTGATCCTAGGTTTCTCAAAGGGCTGAACTGACTCAAATATACTGGGGACTCCCTCTGCTCCTCACACCTGCCCAGGAGGGTTACTTCTCAAGGTCTTGTGCCAGCCATTAGTGTTGTCCACTCAAACTGCTCAGGAAGCGTGGTAAGCACGGTCAGTTGTGTCAGCATTTGCACAAAGTCAGTGACTTACGGTGCTTCCTTGTGGAGGAGTTCTCTATCCAATGGTGCCAGGCTTGGCCATGTGACTTGCTTTGGTCAATAAAATGTGAGCAGATGTGATATGACTATCCACATCCGTGCTTAGGCTGTAAGAGCCATCATGTGACTCAGCCATGCTCTTCTCTCTGCCATGAGAATGGCATATTACCATAGGAAATAGTCCTTCAGCCTGTGGAGATAGGGCAAAACAGAGCCACGGCCCACCTGCCACTGGCATGTAAGGTGAGTAGGAAATAAAGCTTTCTTTGTAGTGTACACCCCTGTGATTGGAAGGTTATTTGTTACTGCTGCATAACTTAGTGAAAGACAACTTATATAGTAGGCCAGAGACCTGCCAACTTTTTCTTAAAGACCAGATAGTAAATATTTTAGGCTTGTGGGCCATTTACAGTCTGTCATAGCTACTCAATTCTATGGCAAAAGCAGCTATTGACAATATATAAACAAATAGGTATGGCTATGTGCCAATAAAACTTTATTTACAAACACAGGTCTTTGGCTTGTGGGCTGTAGTTTGCCCACCCCTGCCATAGGATTTTGCTTCCTCACCTCCTTGAAGTTGGATGTGGCCAGTGAAGTTGGGTGTGGCACTTGCTTTGCCTAGTGGAATGCAAGCTATTTAAAGAAGTGGTGTAAGTGGTGGCTACTCTGTCAGTCTGAGTCTTGAGAGATACCATTAGAGAGCTGAGCATCGGCCAACCTATGCTGGACATTCAGCATAACTAAGAAATAAACCTTATTGTTTAAAACCACTAAGATGTATGGGGTGTTTGTTACTGCAGCATATATAACTGCGCCTATCTGTACTGATACAGGTCTATCTGGCATTACGTTTCGGGGCACCACCTCTGCTCACTGCCATCCCAGGGCACCTCACGTGGCATTCTTTGTTACTGACTTCTTTATAATGTTTGCGTTGTAGACCACGATGACAGAATTTACTTAACGATGATGTTTTGATTATCATGCAAGTGTGGGGGAGGATTGTTCTGTTGAAACAGCGTGACTGCAAATATTTTACCAATAGATCAGTGAAATTCACGTGCCCTTGAACATTTTCAAAGGTATGAAATCACCTGAAATAATTTTTTAGTTCATTTTTTAGTGGCTAAAATCTGTTAATAGTTTGATTCACAAGCCTGGCCTTTGAAAAAGTAAAAATTGGATAATGCTGCACAAGCCATGTTCTCCCTGGTGTGTAAGGGTTAATTATTGGACTCTTGCTTGATGATGACAGTGCAGGTTCATTGAAGTCATCACTTTATATCACCAGCCTGTCTGCAGCACTGTTGGGGCCACGCCTCTTGTGCGATGGTTGGCTCAGACCTGTAGCTTCCTTTGCCTTATCCCCTTTCACATTGAAGCCTCATCTGCTGCTTGACAGTGCATGCCTGAGAGTTGCTTTTCCACAGTCCCTGTTCTTCTCCTAGGTCTGGTTAATTGCTTCTCTGTTAAACAGAGAACATGTTGAACAGCAGCCTTAAATTATTGTCCAATTTTAGCCTACTGGGAACCCCTCTGCAGCTACTCTGATCACCACTGATATTTCTAGAAAGTTCCTATTCACAGGGGACTCTTTTCTCCCTTCTTTATGCTCAAGGGAGAATAAATCACAGAAGCAGCAATCCCTCCATGTGTCAAACTATCAATCCTACATGGAGCTACAAAACAAAAGGCAGTATCCCTTTGTTGCCAGAGAACATCCAGTCCCTGTACAAGTCTGTGCCTCAGGGGCTCAGGCTCATTAGCACCATAGCAGTGGCTCATGCTTTCCATACACTTTTCTCTACCAACACCTACAGTTAGTCTCAGAGTTGTTCTTTATCATGATAGGTTACAGAGCAGTGTTTTAACCATATTACCTTGACTGAGGTATGGTGAGGCCAGATGTGGATCAAGAGAAAGAAACAGGGATGGATTTTATGGTTTTGAGGCTCACAGTTCCCTGGGGAGACACAGCAGGCTGTGCTGGGCCACTCAGCGGAAGCACAGAGTGAGGCATGAGGCAGAGGGAGATGGGGGATGGTAGGGAAGCAGCTTTATTGTCGTCTCCAGGGAAAGGAAAAGGAAAGGCAGGGTATGCAGGTTTAGGATTGGCTAATTTGAAAATGTTCTTGGGGCTCTGGGGCATAGAGGCTGTCCCCGGTTGTCTCATACCTGGCCCCAGGGTGATGAGGTAGGTCCACGGTGGCCTAGGGTGCAAGAGCCACTTAAGGGAAGTGGTGGGAGTTTAAACTACTTGGTTGACTCCTCAAGAAGGGGAACTGACTGGCCTCTAGCTAGGGCCTCAAAACAGGGTGAAGACAGTATAGAATAAAAAATATATTACAACTAGGACAGATACCAACATACTGGGGGTTTGTACCTACCACAGTTATTCCTTACATTTATGTTTCATTTTGTCTAGTAATAGTGAAGTGAATGGAGTTCTAGACTGAAGTCTCTGTTTAGGCAGACTCTGAATTTGTTTTCTCATTGGTTCCCAGAGATGGACTGAGATACCTCAGTCCTGTGGATACCTCAGGCAGGCTTAAAATGTGGCACAAATTCTCTTTAACTATTCAGTTGATACTTTTTCGTGAGGGCTTCAAAGAGGCTGATTTTCTATTGCTAAAAATTGCATACCTCTCTATGTTCAAAGAAAATACCATTTACTTTATATATGAAAGAGCATTTGCTTATTTGGAAAACTTTTATTTGCATTTCACATTTTTTATCACTTCTTACTAAATAGAAGTTTCTCACATTCTCTAGGGATTGAACTAAGTGATAACTTAGAAAGAAAGTATTGTTCAAATACCCATTTTTTGGCTTTTATGTTAGTAAAATGTTTCCCCTTTTTCTAGCTTTTCTTTGTGATTTCAGAAACGTGCAACTTCTTTGAACGCATATTAAATGTTTTTAAATTTAAATAATGAACCACTTGCTTTTGTTACAGCCCAGTGGTTCTTCTTGCCTGCTGCACAGACAGAGCCAAGGCACTGAGACAGTAGTGTTGCAGCGAGAAAGATTTAATTATTGCTAGGCAGTCAAGTGACAGAATGAGAGGCATTTCTCAAATCCACTGCCCCAAGAGCTCAGAGGCTAGGGTTTTTAAGGATAATATGGCATGCAGGGGGCTAGGGAATAGGTGCTGCTGATTGGTTAAAGATGAAATCATTGAGGTCTTCATGCACTGAGTCAGTTTCTGGGTAGGAGTCACAGGACCAGTTGAGTCAGTTCCCTGGTGTGAGTCATGGGTCCAGGTAGAGTCAGTCAGTAGCCAGAATGCAAAAGTCTGAAAAATATCTCAAAGACCAATCTTAGGTTTTACAATAGTGATGTTATCTATAGGAGCAATTTGGGGGCATTACCAATCATGTGACCTCTGGCTAGATGGCTCCTGAGCAGTAAGAAATTATAGAAAAGCAAGCTAGGGGACAATGGTTGGTTATCATTTAGTTACTCCTACATTTTAGCAGAATTCAGGCCCCTCCCATAATTCTAACCTTGTCGCTTTTCATTAGTTTTACAAGGGTGGTTTTCAGTCCCTAAACAAGGAGGGGGTTAGTTTTGGGAAAGGGCTATTATCATCCTTGCTTTAAAATTAAACTGTAAACTAAATTCCTCCCATAGTTAGGTTGGCCTATATCCAGAAGAGTTAGCTTGGGAGGTTAGAAGCAGAATGGAGTGAGCTATTTTGCTGACTAGCTTTCTGTCATTGTCATAATTTTTAGAAAGGTGGTCTCACTCTTAGTAAACAGTAGTATGCTATGCTTTACTCAGTTGTATAATTTCATTTGAATTCAACAAATAACTACAGACAGCTGTCAACTTAGTGATGTTGAGATTGGGGCTAGGCCTGCAGTAATCCTCTGAAATATGTATGTGCACCCCAAAAACATGTCATTGAGATGGGTAGACACCTGCAAGAGGAGTGCTTTTAAAACGTTTTTACATGAAGATGCTTTCTACTTCAGTGAGACTTTTGCCAGTGGTGTTAGAAGTTGCTGTGAAAACCAAGATAAGGAGCCACTGTGTTTTTGATTTGTTCTAGGGATTTAATATCCCTCATAGTTAATCACTCAGGCAATTACTGGGTTAACAATATGTCCTGAAGAAGAGTAGTTTTTGAGCCATGTTCTTTGAATCACTAAGATTCTTCAAAACTGCTTTAGAGTTTCCCATGAACATTTGGATCACATTAAAGCAGGCTCATTATTTCCATCTTCATGTCCATGTAAATGAGGTTGAGTTCTTCACTTGGTTCTCAGCTTTAGTGTTGTTAGTATATAGAAATGCACCTGATTTTTTATGTTAATTTTGTATCCTGAAGCTTCATTGCAGTCGTTTATCAGGTCTAGGAGTCTTTTGCAGGAATCTTTTGGGTTTCTCTAAGTATAAGAGCATGTCACTGGGGACCCCAAAAGTGAGGAAGGTGGGAGAGAAGTGAGGGTTAAAAAATTCTCTATTGGGTACAATGTTCACTATTTATGTGATGTGTTCACTAGAAGCCCAAACCTTACCATTATGCAATATACCCATGTAACAAACCTGTACACATACTTTCTGAATCTAATATAAAATAACAAAGAAAAAAATAACAAAAAGTAGGCTCGTTAGTAAGACAATAGCTGAGGAGCCCTGAGGATTGGTCACCTTCTAGCAGAGAGAGGAAGGGCCAAGCTGATTTACAACAGTCCTGATCAAAGAAGGGTGACCTGTCCAGGGCAAGTCCACAAGCCTCCCCCTCTGTGTCATGAGGCCACAGAGCACTGGAGTTCCATGAAGTCAATGGAAAAGAAGAGTTCTACTGCTTAAACAAGTTTAAAAACCACTGCTCTAGCATTGTTTATAAGAAAAGAAACTAAGAATAAAAACAATACTGAATTCAAACAGCTAATTCCTTAAGACCTGGGAACATTGTGTGTTCTTATGCAGTTATAATTTAATCCAAATACATTGGAACCACACCATAATTCAATTCTAGGTCAAGAGCAGAGTTTTGTATACAGCAGATTCATTTTGGAGCACTCTCTGGGGATTTGGTTACAGAAAAATCCAGAGGATTTATCTGGGCTGTCTTACTCATAAAACTGCACAATGGCCTAGATTTTAGAGATGACATTACAGTGAGGTCTCCTCCAGGACATGCTATGGTATACACCACTATACACCACTTAATCTTTAGAGGGCTCATTTGAATCACATTATTTATGTAGTGTGTCCACATGTTAGATTTGGCCAGATTCTCAAACTGGGGTGTCAGTTCCACGTCTAGCCCATTAATTTGTTGCCATTGTGAAGACAGTAGACTTGAATGCCTTCAGAAGGAGCATGCTGTACTGCACAAGTGCGAGGGGCCTCATTCCTAAAGTGATCACACTGTGTTTTAGGGAATTGTGCCCCTTTACAATGCTGTGACTTTGGGTGACACTCTCTAGCTTCTATAGTACCCAAGTCTGGGTTGCGTCTGAATTTGAAATCTCTACTATGAGACTGTATTGTTTGTTTTTAAAGTCGATGGAGCACTTGACTTGGAGCCAGAAGAGAAAGCTTGGGTCTTCACGCTTCTTGATTAATTATCAAGCCAGTTAATTTTCTAGAGCCTCTGTTTATTCATTTGTCAAATGGGACAAATAATGTCTGTTTCACAGGGCTTGTTGTGAAGATTATACTCTGTTGTGTTATAGAGGTTTAAAGTGGACCTGTGGGTTTGTATGAAATACAGCAAGGTAACATAAATTAAAAGTAGATGAGGGATAAAAGCGGGGAAAGGGTCTAAAATGGGGTTAACAAGTTGTACCTTTTGTGCAGATCTATATGCTTGCTAGGAATGAGCCACAAATTTGCTTCTGTGCCCTCTAGCAGCCAAGGAGAAAATGGAAACCTTATTTTCTTTAATCATGGTGTCTACGAGATTGGGAACACAGTAGGGAGTCATGAAAAATATTCCTTTTCCTAGTAACTTAACAGAGAGAGACCACCCTCAGGGGTCTGCAAAAGAGGACATTGCATGGTACAGCCTATAGTGTCTGCTACACAGAGAGGTTGCAAACTGGCAGTCCACCAGTGTCACCATTTGTTGGGATTTTTGTTTTGTTTTGTTTAGGCTTGATGTCTAAAAAGTTTGATCCAACATTTAAAAGAATCAGATTTTGCAAAAATAACATTTTTAAGTTTTCTTTCAAAATCAGATGATCAGTTAATATTGTAACTATATATCAAAATTAATTGGCACTGTGTAGCAGCTTTTTTTTAATGTAGCAATGATTTCAGGTTTGCCACAGTCTCCACCATTCCCTACTGCCTTACTTACTACATTTTATTTCCTACTTGGCATTTAGGCATCTGATTTAGTGACTCCTATTCTACAGCATCCTTGTAGTAGGCTCAGCAGTACGCTTCATAAGGCTGAGAATCCCTGAGAGGATTGATTGATATGGGAAAATGCTGGTACTCTGTACAATATTGTTCTACAATAAAAATGTAGAATTAGAATATTGAAGTTACTGTTAGAACTTTGAAATCATGACTGAGGGTTTAAAAATGCTTAATGAGGGCCGGGCGCGGTGGCTCACGCCTGTAATCCCAGCACTTTGGGAGGCTGAGGCGGGTGGATCACGAGGTCAGGAGATCGACACCATCCTGGCTAACATGGTGAAACCTCGTCTCTACTAAAAATACAAAAAAAAAATTAGCCAGGCGCGGTGGCAGGCGCCTGTAGTCCCAGCTACTCAGGAGGCTGAGGCCGGAGAATGGCGTGAACCCGGGAGGCGGAGCTTGCAGTGAGCCGAGATCGCGCCACTGCACTCCAGCCTGGGTGACAGAGTGAGACTCCGTCTCAAAAAAAAAAAAAAAAAAAAAGCTTAATGAACGAGAGTCTCAAATAGCTAATTAAAACAACCTCAACTTCCAAACTAATCTCCTAGCAAGTAGTTTACCCAGAGTATCCATTCCAATTGCTCTTTAATCAAATAAAAATTTCAGAATATTTTATTTAAATATTTACATAGCTATATATTTTCATCAGAAAAGAGTATCACAGGAAAGACATGTTTTAAGTATGCTTTTAACTGTATAAAGTTTGATTGTTAGGCTCTATGATCTGGTGACAATAGTCGTTACTGTTAGAGGTGAATCCTTGTAAAGTTGTTATTTTTGTCAAGGTCCACTTTGGCTTCTAGACTTGTTGAGTTTGGTAAGATGTTTTGAGCGCTGAGTTGCTAATTTTCCAGAAATGTAATTTGCAATGAAGATGTTGGATGGGGCTTTCCCAATTATCAGAAGGAATTCTCCAAAGTTGAAAATGAGTGATAATTATCTAATATTCTAAAACATGCTGCTAGACATGGATATAGAGTGTTTAATAAAAGATGTCAAAGTTGTGTTGTGGCCACCAGCCACCATCACAGCTCTAGCCAACATTAGAGATGACTGGTGATCTAGGAGGAGATTGTGGAGGGTTATCTCAGTGAAGAGCCTCATAAAGAGTATTGGGGAATTTTCCCTCCCATTGCCGTGGAGAGAAGAGATGAGTGCTCTTACCCTTTCCCCAAGCCAAGAGAGAAGAGCTCTGATCTAGAGATAGGGGTTATGGCAACCATGGGAGATTGGCATCTCACTTCCCACTTGGATGCCTGCGGAGCTCTCTCCAGGCCCATCAGAATGGAGCACAGCGATGATTTTAGGGATCTGTGAGCATATATACAGATGCTTCCAACATACAGTATTTGATAGATGCAAAGTTGCTAGAGCAGCCTGTGAAAGTGAGGCAAAGAAAAAGATGTTCAGTGGTTGACAAGCTCAACTTCCACCATTTGGCAGAGAAAGATGTGTACATTTTCGTGGGGCCAAGCAACATCAGGAAAGGTAGAGAGTTTGAGCAATTGTTGCTGGTTCCTTGTCCAGAGGTGGCCTTTTGGGTTGAGGCAACCCAGACTGTGAGAACCCTGACATGTATGTTGAAGTAGAAGATGTGTGTTTTGGGGGAGGGGCTCACAAAAGGCTGGTCAAATGGTTCTTCCACCATGCTAGGGAACTTGGAATAGAGGGTCCATGTGGGCCTCTGAAGAACCTACAAATGCACCCTGTGAAGGTCCCAGGATGTGACTGCCTGCCTTGCACAGCTGACTTTGGTAGCCAAGAGAATTGAAAACAGCACGACCTGATGTAAGAAGATGTTCCGTTTCCTCACCACTGATGTCACTTCCCTGTGTTAACCTGAGAAGAGCTACGGCACAGAGTGATGGAGGAGAGAATGAAAGCAGAGGAGGAGGGTAAAAGGAAAGGCTACAGTCCCTTCCCCACTACAGGTCATACAAAAGGAGGAGGGAAAAGCTTTGAGTTGGATATGAGATTGAAGTTTTGATACGAAATTACTATACTTTTAGTAAGTGAGTGAGTCTTAGTTTCCATAAATAAGGCTATTATAAGTGAAAGTGATGGAAAAATGATGGGGTCTTCCTGAGCTGTCCAGCTGCAGGGAATGGAGATCCACTGGAACAAGTCAAAGATAATAATAATGAGAAAAAAAAAGATTCTTAAATCCCCACCATTCAATGAACCAGTTACCAAACCCACACGATACAGAGACATTGAGATTCCAATATGAATCTCTCCACAGAAGGAGGCACCTTCTCTTGCCATCTTCTGTGTATTATAACCATTTTTGGGGGGGTTTGGTGCTTCTTGTTCAAAATTGAAGTCTTGTAGCCAAAAGTCAAAATCATATTCTTCTAAAATTCACTTGAAAAATATTTCCTTTTACAGTTGAATTAAAGCAAATTACTTGGTTAATTAATGTCAAAGGTGACTCTGTTCTAGAGATAATTTCTGAGTCATGATACCTAATATTTAAAAATTATGTTTTGATTTTTATCTTTAGTCATGGTGATTTCAAATGAGGTTATTAAATCACTGTAATTCATGATTTATATAAAATATGAAGACATTAACCTACAACATCTTGGATTGCTTTTTTTTTTTAATTGCATTAGTCACTAGTACCTTCTAACAGTTCCAGTTTTTGGAAGGCAGCCTCTAGTTTCCTATTCAGCCTCATCATAGCTGTTCCTTTTGGAGAGCGGTGGAGAATACAGGATTGAAGGTGACCCTCACAGCATGACAAATTGTCAATCTGGCTCCCTCAGAAACCTTATAGGGAGTGTATTAGTCAGCTTTGGCTGTCGTAAGCAAGTACCACAGACTGGGTGGCTTAAACAGCAGAAGTTTATTTTCTCACAGTTCTGGAGGCTGGAAAGTCCAAGATCAAGGTGGAGGCCTCTCTTCCTGGTTTGCAGAATCCCACCTTCTCACTGTGTCCTCACGTGGCCTCTTTTCTGTGCACTTAAGGGAGGGAGAGAGACAGCTGTCTGGCGTCTCTTCCTCTTCTTCTAAAGACACCAATGCTACCTATTAGGGCCCATCTCTTATGACCATAGTTAACTTCCCTAAAGGGCCTATCTCTACATATATTCACATTGGGGATTAAGGTTTCAACATATAAATTTGGGGGCCTGGGGAGAACACAGTTCAGTCCATAACAGAGAGGAAGAAAGAGATTCTTAAAAAGTGTTCTCTTCTGCAAGTTGACATTTCTGAAAAATATGTTTATTCTCCAAATTTAAGAGACTTTTAGAACCAATTACCTGTGAAATTTTCTTTTCCAAATGACCGAAACTCAACTCAAACTAGCTGAAGCAAAAGTGGATATTTTTTGGCTCACATAGCAGATGGCCAAGGGTCAGATATGTCAGCCACAGCTGGATCCAGGGTCGATGTCATCAGGTCTTTGTCCTCCCCTTGAGCTCTGTGTCCCCCCATGTTGGCCCCTCCTCAGGAGGGTCCTTTTCCTGTGGTGGCATTGATTACCTGGGGCAGCTCCAGGCTGATCTGGCCCTTAGAATTTGCAGCTTTAAATGGAGAGAAACTGTCTCCCAAGAGTCAACTCTGACTGCCCCCGCCTGGGTTAGGGATACATATTAGCAGCCTGGACCCAGGGCCTATCTGGGTGGTTATGGGCTGGCATTCCCAACAGCTGGGAGAGGACCAAATGAAAGATTCCAGGCAGATCAAACTGTAAGGCATGTCCACAGTCTTCCCCTTCTAAGTTTCTGAGCTAAAACAACTTATTTGTCCTTTGTGACTTGTATAATTGTATAATTGATAGTCCAGAGAAGGTCCAAATTAGTTCATCTTTATATGTGTAAGAGATTCTATCTAAAGGTCATCAGAACCTTTTTGAAAGTCAACTGATGTCATGTTGGCCTTTGCTGGTGTTTCTCTGCAGACTCTCCGGACGACCCAGCCTTGTCACCACCTGGAGATTTGGCTCCAGCCTGGCTAACCACAGGCTGTTGACATGATGGCTGTGGTCTCTCTGCACTCCTCCTCCAACCTCCCCCTTCTCTATCCTCTTATGCATACCTATTGTTGTGGTCTAAATGTATGTGTCCCCCCCAAATTCATATGTTAAAGTCCTAGCCCCCAAAGTACTAGTATTAGAAAGTAGGTCTTTTGGGAGCTGATTAGGTCATGGAGGCAGGGCCCTCATGATTGGGATTAGTGCCCTTATCAAAGAGGCTTGAGAGAGGTCTCTCACCCCTTTCACCATGTGAGGACACAGAAGACACCATCCATCTGTGAACCAAGAAGTGAGCCCTCACCAGACACCAAATCTGCCAGCATCTTGATCTTGGACTTCCCAGTCTCCAGAACTGTGAGAAACGAATGTCTGTTGTTTATCAGCCACCCAGTTGGTGGTATTTTGTTATAGCAGCCCAAATGGACTAATACACCTAATGTCACCCATCTCATGTGAATGTAGGTGCTCATCTCTTGCCTGAAATTCTTGGGGTCAAGTGTGTTCTGGAACTCAGTTTCTAATTTCAGAAAGGCCATATCGTATACACACTGTTTACTGACACCCTTAGCAGAGTCTGGGACAGCACCCAGAAATCCATCTCATTAACATTTCTGCAGAGAAACACGTGAACATTCATACTACGTAGGATAAAGAAAATCAATAGTAGCCTTATATCAGTTCAGGTCAGGTTTTGTCACCAAACACATTACGAGAAAGGTTTGTTCTCAGGGCTTTTCGTAATTTCAGAATTGTAAACAAGGGATCCCGAATTTATATTTTCTTGTATGCATTAAGTGCTACCTTTGTTGGACTCTCAGCAGCTAGGACTGGTCTCCATAAAATTTAAAACTTAAGAAACATTTTAACTTAAAGCACTTTAAGCAGCACTTTCCAAAGTTTAAAGTATGTAAGTAAATCTGTGTGAGTAGATAACTATAAAGAACAAACTTTCAGCCAATATCTTCACTTTGAGTGGTTACTGGGGGGCAAAGAATTAGAAAGCCACTATGTATAAAATTAAACATTTTTATTTGTTCATTTCTTTAAAGTACAACTTATTTTCCGGGAGAGGAAAGTACTCTCACCAAAGAAGATTTTTACAGAGAGAAATCAGGTCAACTTGAAACTTGTTTGCAACTCTCTATTTGTAACAACCTTTGTGGGGTTTTCATAAAAGGATTTTCCAAGTCTTTTGTCTTCAAGAACATAAATTAGAGGACACTCTTACCAGGAGTACATGCAGTTTAAGTACCCAAAAATAAGTTTGTTTACCACTTAGAATCATGGAGTTCAAGAGAATTTTCAAGTTTGCAATCCTGGGTCTCTCCCAGGGACATTGAGAGGGCAGAATCGATTCTAGTTTTGCTAATGCGCCTGCCAACTGGTGTCACCATTTCCCATCACGATATCTCAGTTATCCCATCTGTCAGCTCTAAGAGTCTTTGATGTATTTCAACATACCATGCTTTCAGGAACCTCTCGGTACCACGTTCTGGTGCTTGGCAGCTGTCCAGGATGAATTTGATGTACCTCTCCCTGATGCCTGCCAGGAGGGAGTTGGAGGAGGGGCTTAAAGGATTTTCTGGTAAATCCAAATGATCACATATGAGCTGTTATCAATGTGGGAGAATGGAATTAGGGGATAGTCTTCTCATTAGAATTGTGAAAATTCAGGATGGTGGAAATACTCAGTATGAAGATTTTCAGGTTGGCTAAGTGTATGTGAAATGTCCTAATTTGAAAAACACTTTGGATTTGATTGAATTAGTGGTGTTAAATTAGTGGGGTGTGGTGGGCATGGTGACACGGTGCTGGGCATCCTTGCATACATGACGGATCAGAAAACCAGCAATCCAGGCAACTCTGTGGCCAATGCGGCATTTTGGGTCCAAGCCCCTTGACCCTGTGTCTCTCTCCTTGCTTCATGGGAAATCCTGCCACCTGGCTCAGACACAGGCCTGGGGGTTAAATGGAGCATGTGCTGCCAGGTACTGGTCAGTGCCCTCAAGGGTGGAGAAGACCTCTTGGGAACCACAGACAGGCTGTAGGGTTGTCGTGTTTGTCTGTTTTTAAGTGACAGGCTGCTTGATCTCATCCCATTAGTAGTGACGTTGCTAGAGGTAGAGCTTGCAACCACCCCCTTCCCATTAACTCTACCATCACCACCTGCCGCTAACTACTGACGGCTACCCAATGGCCACAAGGCACATAATATTCACGGAGAGCCAAAGTGGCTTGCCTGTGTCATTACAGTAGCTCTCCTTGTTAAGAGTCTCTTAACCATTTCCCTCCTTCCCACACCCCACTCTTCACACATACATGTACATCCCTACCTGAGCTAGAGCCCTGCTTCCATCCACTTTCCTGGCCTTCCCCAAGCTGCCTGTGCAAAGCCTCCCTTTTCTGCTCCCTCAGCCTCCGGTTTCTTCCTTTTTCTATACCTTTCCCCAACAATTTCAGCCTTTATTAACCTTTTCCTTCTCTAACTATCAGTCCTATCGCTTTTTTGGGGGGGGGGGCGGGAGGCAGGTGGGAGGTGTACAGCTCCTCATACTTGCTGTTCTGTTTATGTATGCTCTATAGCAAACTATCCCCAAATCTAACGGCTTAACACAGTAAACTGTTTCCCTATCATCACTCATGATTTTGTGGATCGGGAATTCCAGCCGGACTCAGCTGGGAAATTCTTTTGCTCCTCGCTGTATTGAAGGGGGTCGCTGGATACTTTCACTGGGCAGATGGGTGAACTGGAGGTGATTAAGATGGCTTCACATGCCTGGCGCCTTGGTGGGATGGCTGGAAGGCATGTTCAGCTGGGTGTGTCCACTGGGGCTTCCACACATGGTGGTCTCAAAGTAGTCAGACCTCTTTCAGGTAGCTGGCTTCCACAAGAGTGAGCATTTCTAGAGAAAGGAAGTGTAAGTGGCCAAGCCTCCTAAGCCTGGGCCCAGGATCCTCTCTGCTGTATTCGGTGGTTGCACAGTTATGCCGTCCTCCCAGTTTTTACCTAGCCCCCACCTCTCTGTGTGTTACAACAAAGTCTGCCACCACTATTAATCTTCCACACGTGCCTCCTCCATTCTCGAATGTTCTTGAAGATTATATTGCTTTCTCCAAACCTAAACTGTCTCATAAGTTTTTGGCGCTTAAGACAAGTTTCAAGAAATAAGAATTGAAAAGTGTTGGAGGAAAGAAAGTTTCCATCTCTAACCACTTTCTCAGAAGGGCATCAGGGTTTTTGCAGCAATGTGGGGATACCTCTTCTGATCTCATAGCTTAGGGCTCTGAACTAAACTGATGGCCTTTTCTAGATTTCTTCCTAGGGGTGTCAGGTTGGAAGTGCTGAGGGACTGCTCTTTCTCCCCAGGGCTCAGCTGTGTCAAGGCTAAGACCAGGAGTGGTTCCCACAGCCAGGCTGGGTGAGGGCAAGTTTATCCTGCGGTGCAGCACCTCAGACCAGGGTCTAGCCAATGGTGGCCTGCAGGCTGACCCCAGTCCACCACCTGTGAGCAGCCACCACCACCTGTGTTTATACTACCCATGAGCTAAGCACGATTGTCATATTTTGTTTGTTTGTTTGTTTGTTTGTGAGGCAGAGTCTTGCTCTGTTGCCCAGGCTGGAATGCAGTGGTGCAATCTCAGCTCACTGCAACCTCTGCCTCACTAGTTCAAATGATTTCTGGCTAATTTTTGTATTTTTAGTAGAGATGGGGTTTCACCATGTTGGCCAGGCTGGTCTCAAACTCCTGACCTCAAGTGATCCGCCTGCCTCAGTCTCCCAAAGTGCTATGATTATAGGCATGAGCCACTGCACCCAGCCAATTTTTATATGTTTAGATGATTGGGAAATAGATTTTAAAAAGAATAATATTTCATGATACATAAAAATTATAATGACATGCAAATTTCAGTGTCCATAAATAAAGTTTCTTTGGAACACAGTCATGCTCATTCGTGTACATGGTAGCTGTGGCTGCTTTCACACTGTGAGAGCTGGGTTGAGTAGTTGTGACAGCAATTATTAGATGACCTGCAAAACCAAAAATACTTGCTATCTTGCTCTTTACAGACAAGTAACTTTTTTGCTGTTCTTGCCAAAGACCAAATGCATTTTTCAAAGCTGGATTCCAGGCTCAGAGTTACAGCAAAGAGAACAGAAAGTATAGCTCATGATTGGGTGCTGACAGGACAAGGGAGAGAGACGAAAACCATTAGGAGCATTAGCAACAAATATATTTTTTGCCATTCCAACTCCATGGAGCAAATGGCTTCCTAAAAGCCAGCAGAGAAACTAATTACCTGAACTGGGAGAAGAATGAAAGACTCATTGTTAGAATATTCCTCAGAGCTGAATCCCTTCTTTCAGCCTACTGTATTTTAGTGATTCCTAATAAAAGAAAAAAATGTATTTTTGTCCTCACAGCCAATTAATTTCTGCTCCAAAGCATAGAATATGATTATTTCTGTCATTATTTTAGTTTCCAGAGTCATTGATGAGACAGGGAATGACACATACCTATTAACACACTCGCACACTCACTCACACACTCGTGTGGGTACATGCATTTCCCTAGAAGATGTACTGGAAGGATCTGACTTTACTTTCAGGTGCCTTCATGTCCTCGCAATTATTCTACAAATGGTTTTTAAGATATTTCTATTGTATTTGTTGAAATTTTCCTGACATTTTGACTTGTCTAGACGATTATTCTTGCATCCAGCACATTGTAGGAAACACTCATTTGAAATACCCCACTGTGCTTCCGGGGGAGCTCATCTTTCTGGAGCATGGCGGGTCCCTCATGAGGCCCTCTTTCGTTAACCGAAGAACAAGCTGCAGTCTGAATGTGAGTTGTTAAAGGTATGGTATTGGGAGTTTTCTGTTCTCCTGTTTTCCCATTCTGTAATGTTTTCTTTCTTTCTTTCCTTCATTTCATTTCATTTCATTTCACTTCATAGCAACTTTTGAATGAAAACCTCCCCACAGGGTTTGACAGGCAATGAAACTTCCTCCCTTGGGAGGTGTCTCAGCCTGAGGGAAATGGAACAGCACCCCACAGAGGATTTTCCTCACTTCCTCCCTCTCTCCTTTACAAATCAATGTTAAAGAGCCTGCATGGATGTGGTTAGCACCATCTCTGCCGCATGTGACTTTTCAGTCATTTTCACCCGAAATAGGATTTCATTCACCAGTTACTATAAGCTACTCGTGCCTTCTAATGGACTTTGCAGCAGTGATTCATCCACCCTGTGCTGGGAGAGAGAAAGAGACTTTAGGTGAGAAAGAATGGTTGGGAGAGGGGAGACAGGTAGGCAGAACAGTTGTGGTACCATCCCGCCCCATAAGACAATAATGATATTCAGTGTTAGGCGCTTTATACCAAGAAATATTCCACCTGACACATTATCCTGGTTGAATCTTATGACACATCTGCAAATAGACATTACCAAATACAGAGGGGGACTTTTAGGTTCAGAGAGGTTAAGTGACTTGCCCAGTAACACACTGCTGGCAATTCGACCTGATCTCTCTCTTTCTTCCGCCTTTTCCATTTCAGTCAGTGGCAGTGCCATCTTTCCACCTGCTTCTGTCAAATGTGTTGGTGTGATTTGATTTCTTTTCTGTTTCTCTTGTATCTTTTAATCCAGCAATAAATCCCTGCTGGCTCTACTTGTAAGATATACCCAGAATCTATTACCTCCGCCCCCCCACCACCCACCTTGCTCCAAGCCTCCATCATCTCTCTCCTGGAGCACTGTGATACCCTTCTTCTTGGTCATCCTGCCCCTGCCCTGACTTCCCTAAAGTTGATGCCCAACACACAGGCAGATAAACCAGATCAGACTTGTGACTGTTTTCCCATTCTTTGGGCAATCCCATTGCATTCCAGATAAAAGCGGAAGTCCTTAGAGTACTGCAGTTTGCCTCCTAGCCCACGTTATCTCTGGCCTTCCTTTCTCACTTTCTCCCTCCATTCCAGCCACGTTGGCTTCCTGCTGTCTCTTGAATAGTCAGGGCCTTTGCCCATGCTACTCCCTCTGCTTGAAGCACTCTTATCCCAGGAGACTGCATGATTGAGACCCTTACCTCCTTCATGTCTTTACTGAAATGTTTTTACAGTGAAACCTATCTTAAATTTTTTTTTTTTTTTTTTTTTTTTTTTGAGACAGAGTCTCTCTCTGGAGTGCAGTGGCACAGTCTCGGCTCACTGCAACCTCTGCCTCCCGGGCTCAAGGGATTCTCCTGCCTCAGCCTCCCAAATAGCTGGGACTACAGGCACCCACCACCATGCCTGATTAACTTTTGCATTTTTAGTAGAGTTGGGGTTTCACCATGCTAGCCAGGCTGGTCTTGAACTCCTGACCTCTAGTGATCTGCCCACCTTGGCCTTCCCAAAGTGCTGGGATTACAGGTGTGAGCCACTGCACCCAGCCTTTGTATAGCTTTAATGCATCAAATATGGGCTTAGTTCCTCATGTAAACAATTCTCCCAGGAAATTAGAGGATAAAAAGTTAAAAATAGCATATATGTCCTGCCCTCAGGAAGTTTACGTTTTGAAGGGGGGATACAACAAAAAGCTAGAATTTGTAGCAGCGTACAACACATGCCAATAAAACTTGCAACTCAAGCCCTGTGCACAGAGAACCATTTGGCAGAAATTCTAGAGAGGCTTCCTGGAGGAGGTGCTAGTAGAGGAGACCTTGACAAATGGGGATGGATCTAGATCAAATTCCCCTATGCCACGTGCTCCTCTTTGCGTTCAGAATGCTCTTGTTTGCAAGATTTCAGCCATGTACAACTCTTCTGGCACTCAGCCATGGACTAAAACGAGGTTCATGCCCACAGTATTGGTCTGCAGAAAAGCATGAGACTGGATGACAGTCAGAACAAATGGAATCCTCTAGGGTAGGGAGAAGAGAAAGAAAGAGGAAATAAAACAGCATAATCCCAGGAACTGCCAATAGGAAAGGATGGGAGAAAGGACAACTGGCAAAGACTCTGATGTGGTGTCCAGCCTTTCAGATGTCACCTGAGGACGTTGCTACAATTAACATGCAGCCAGACACACACAGTGACTACACATTTTGGTGTGGTTGGCGGCATTAGTTGAGTCTTAAACAAAAGCAATTTCAGTTGCAAATCTTGTGCCAGGCTTTCAGAGAAAGAGAATAAATTATGCTGCTGTGACAAGCTGTTCCACTGTGGCAACAATAGTTTGGACTTCCAGTGCTGCCTGTCAACCAGGACTGAAAATACATCTTCATTTGTTGCTGGGCAGCTGGGAAGATGAGTCATTAAAGAATTTTATAATACATCAAAGGCCATGATTTTCTACCTTTCACGCAGTTACACCTTTTCCCAAGTCCTCATTCTGCCACAAAAAACTTTTGAATGCACCGAAAGTTAAGTAGAATTCCTTTTAAAATGTTCTGTTCTGTGCACATATCTCTAGGGGAAGTGCAGAAGACATGGGGCATTCCCTTTTGTCATGCATTTCAGCTCCATAAAGATTTATTGACCACCTACTATATGCCAAGCATTATGTTAGTCAGTGGGGTTAAAAAGATGAGCAAATTGTGGTCTTGAAACCCATGCCTTTTGTTCAGATTATTACAGTGCAAGAGAAGCAGCATCAGCCATGTGTCTGAGAGGCCAGAGGAAGGAGAGAGTGAGGAAATATTGTACCTCATTAATATTGTTCCTCTCGTTTCACCACTGTATTAATCTGTTCTCATGCTGCCAATAAAGACATACCCAAGACTGGGTAATTTATAAAGGAAAGAGGTTTAATGGACTCTCAGTTCCACATGGCTGGGGAGGCCTCACAATCATGGCAGAAGTTGAGAGAAAAGCAAAGGGACGTCTTACATGGTGGCAGGCAAGAGAGCTTGTGCAGGGGAACTCCCATTTATAAAACCATCAGCTCTCATGAGACTTATTCGCTACCATGAGAACAGTATGGGGAAAACCACCCCCATGATTAACTTACCTCCCACTGAGTCCCTCCACGACACATGGGAATTATGGGAGCTACAATTCAAGATGAGATTTGGGTGGGCACACAGCCAAACCATATCAACCACTGTAGACATGACCAAGTTCAGACTTGGTCAGTAGTCAAATGAGCCTGTGAGAGAATGGTGCCACATCTTTCCTGTAAGAGCACAGCATTTTAACCTGCGATGGATTTGTGAGCAGTCATTCCAACTCTGTATTAGTTTTCTACAGTTGCTGTAACAAATTACCACAAGCTTAATGGCTTAAAACCATGTAAATATATTATCCCACAGTTCTGAAGTCAGAAATCTGAAATAGATAGGCTAAAAGCAAGGGGTGACAGGCTGCATTCCTTTCTGGAGGCTCTAGGGGAGAATCTGTTTCCTTGCCTTTTCCAACTTCTAGAGGCCGCTGGCATTCCTTGGCTCTTTGCCCCTTCCCTTCTTCAAAGCCAGCAGCAGTAGTTGAGTCCTCCTTAACACAGCATCACTTTTTTTTTTTTTTTTTGCCTTCTTCTTCCACTTTTAAGGACTCTGTGATGGCACTGGGGCCACTGGGATAATCGAGGATAATCTTCCTATTTTAAGAACAGCCAATTGACAACCTTAATTCTAAGCAATCTTAATTCCCTTTTGCCATGTAGCTGAACATATCCAAGTTCTGGGGATTAGGATGTGGATGTATTGGGGTGGGGAAATTATTCTTCCTACCACCAACCCTCATCCATCTCTAAAGGCACTGATTTTTTTGATAAATCAGATAAGTACCAGAGATGTGTACTCTGGGCTCAGGAGTGAAGAGGGTTAGCTGGCCTTTGCCAACAGTGACTTCATATCACCATACTCAATGCAATTGAGGTGACTTAATCAAGGGGAAAAGATGGACAGCATGTTTTATGGAAATAGCACTTGCCTGGTAATCAGGAGACTTGGATTTTAGCTTCTCTCCTTCAAACAGACTACTGAGTGTCAGTAGGCAAGTTGTTGAACTGCTCTGGGCCTCTGTAAAAAATCAAGGTTGTGGTTAGATGTTCTCAAATCCTCTTTCATCCTCTAGCCTTCCATGGCTCTCAATTTCTACAGGGAATGTACTGGAAATGGAGAGAGGCTAGCCTGTGGAAAATGCAGTGCCATTATTTCAGCATCAAAATCCTGAAATAAGATACAGAATGTTGTGTAATATACAGCTCGGTGTCTGTGCCCTTTTATTTCTCTCTTGGGCCCAGCCCCATCATCCTGTCCTTGATCATTGTAATGCAGTGTTCACTACCAGTCTTTTCTCCCCCTACATTGGAAATTATGCCAAAAGAGTAATGAATGAATTAGGTAAATGAATTAGATGAATTAGAGATAAAATTATGGCTCTACAGTTGAAATATCAGCTTTAAGAGAATCGACTTGGAGACCAGGTGCAATGGCTCACGCCTGTAATCCCAACACTTAGGGAGGCCAAGGCGGGTGGATCACCTGATGTCAGGAATTTGAGACCAGCCTGGCCAACATGGCAAAACCCCATCTCTACTAAAAATACAAAAAATTAGCAGGGCGTGGTGGCAGGTGCCTGTAATCCCAGCTACTTGGGAAGCTGAGGCGGGAGAATCTCTTGAACCTGGGAAGCTGAGGTTGCAGTGAGTGGAGGTTGCAGTGAGCTGAGGCCGTGCCATTGCACTCCAGCCTCGGCTACAAGGGCAAAACTCCATCTCAAAAAAAAAAAGAAAGAAAGAAAATTGACTTGGAGATGTACGGGTTCACATATAATTGAAAGTGAGCATTCCACAGTGACTTGAGAAAGTTGATTCCGGCTTTCAAAGCTTGCATTATGGGTAAGAAACTTGAGCCTAAAAAGAACTTATATGTATGTGGGTCATTAGACAATCTCCTCCCTCACCACCTTTTTTTTTCTTTAATCAAAGAATTATACATATGCAAGTAACTGAATCACCTCTTCTTTCATTTTTTTCCCTCTTTAATCACAGCTGTGTGGAAAGTTTCCAGCTAGGCATTAAATTGGGTCAACAGCTAACACAGCATAAGTGTGGACAGCAGGGGCAATCGGTGGTATATACATAGGAAATAAACGACACTGTGCTGCTGGCATTGATAAGCTGTTGAATAGTGCAAGGGCCCTATTAAGATTTAAAGTAATAAAAGATGGGAGGAAATATGGTTACCAGCAGCTGATAAACATTCTTGCCTTATGAAGGCATTAGTTTCACTTAATGGCTTCTAGTGCCTGGAGTATAAGCTCTTGTAATTTTTCTCCCCCAGAGCAGACTGAAAGAATACCTAGGAATTGTCATCTTTGTAGTTGCTCAAGAAAGATCTTTGGGTGGCTGTGAGCAGATCTGAAAATAGTAAGTATGGCAGGTACATGGAGCTGCATCCGTTTGCAAAAGCTATCAATAAAGAAAGGTATAGAAAGGATGCCCTTGACCCCGGTATGTGCAGATAGAAGTGGAATTTCCTCCGGAATGTGCATGCAAATGTGCCTAGCTGCAAAAGAAGAGGCATTCCCTGCTCAGGTGTGTAGAGTGATTTAGAACCATTTGTTTCTGCTCAATGGTTCTCAAATGAACAGTATTTCCTCACTAGGAAACAGTGCTAATTCCAGGCTAGGACGGTCCACAGAGATGGTGGCTGTGCCCAGATCATTCTTGGAAATCTGAGGAAGGGAGTCATTTCTTCTCATGCCACACCCAGTAAGGGGTACATTAGATACTCTATTTCCTCCAGGCAGATCTACAGTGACCAGGACCACGTACTAGGATAGGAGAGGTTCTGGCACTATTCATCATTGGCTCCGGAAATAGCTTTCCCCTCTGAGCTCAAAGGTAGGCTCATCCTCTGCTAGAGTCTATTAGGTCTGGTGGGATTGGAACTCAGGTGCATACCCCTGGGCTCTCCAACCACTAGTGCTGCATCCAGGGCTTGGGGTCCTGCTTTGTGCCATCAGGTCATCAGTGACATGACTAGGGCAGCTCAACCCGCACCTCTGGCATCACTGCCTTCCTCCCATGGCCCCCTAGCATGAACCCAAAGACCACAGGGCCGGTTCCCTCCTTCAGGCCCAAGGCTGGGCCTCCAAATAATGGCCTCCCAAAGATGCCCACATTCACATGCCCAGAACCTGTGCATATGTTACCTTATGTGGCAAAAGAGACTTTGAAAATGTGAGTGAATTACAATATGGAGATTGGCCTGGGTTATCTGGGTGGACTCAAAGTAATCAATAAGAGGGTGACAGGAGGGTCAGAGTCAGAGAAGAAGTTGTAATGATAGAGGCAGGGAGCCATGAACCAAACAGTGTAGACAGCCTCTAGAGACTAGACCAAGCAAGGAAGTGGATTCTCTCCCAGGGACTTCAGAAGGACCTCACCCCTGCCAACTCATCCGAGGACTTCTGACCTCCAAAAGTATAAAATAATACATTTGTGCTGCTTTAAGTCACTGAGTTTGTGATAATTTGTTATAACAGCAGACAGAAACTAATACAGTTTATCTTATTCCTTTACTCATGATCAACTACTTTGGGGTTAACGAACAACAGTATATTTACTTCCTTCAATGAAACACTTACCTCCACCCACCAGAGTGAAAGTTTGTCACCCTGGTTCCAACAAATGCCACAAACCACTGTATGATCATCTTTGGGTAGGTCAGCTTGTCTGCTATGGTATTTTTCTTTTATATTGCAGTTTACAAAGTGCTCATTTGTCTTGTATGATAGTTATATATGGAAGGTAGCATTACTATTTCACTTTTCTGATTTTCTAAAAAATATCTTTAATGAACACATATTAATTTTGTGATTAAATGACACAATAATTAGAAATGTTAAAAGGAGATGGCAGTTTTAGTCACTTAATAACCATAATACTAACAAATTCAGGCCACATGCTATCTCAGTGGATAGTCCCCAGAACCAAGTTAGGCTAGTTCATGAGGCATTTCAGATAGCTGAAGGGACTAAGTATACACTGGAAGATTGGGTACGAAGATCAAAAGACAGCTCTACAACAAAGCTTCATGGGCCATTGGTTTCACAGTAGGGGGAACTGAAATCCAGGCTACAGATTCAAAAGCTTACAACCTGGCAATTTATGTAGCATAGGGAATCAATGTCTATAGTCTTAATTACATAGAGGCTAAAGCCTCAATTATTCTATTTCTGTAGGCAGGATTCCTACATAATCTATAGCATCTATTGGCATAAAACATTCTTAGTGGCCATTCTGGGTACAAGCATCCCATTTCTCTTTCTGTCCTTCCACACACTACCAGTGTCTCTCGCTTATTTCCTCCCAACTCTAATGTTCATATGTGGGTTATTTGAGCTTCTAAGTTAATTCCTTGCCTATATGTAAGGAACATATTGGAAAATTATAACCAAAGTGTAGTATATATTGCAGAGTCTCTACTTCCCATGAGCAGCTTTGGAGGGTACCTCACAGGAGAGGGTTAGCTGGCATCTTTCCATTAGGAAGCCAGCATCAGCACAAGGGGAAAACTTCTCTCCAACGTCTAGACCTCTCTATCCCATGAGACTTTGGGGACTGGGACTGGGTAGCAGGGCAGAATTGGGGGAAGGAGGCACTTAAGAGCTTTTTAATTTCAATATTCTAACCATTAGTGAGGGTGTGCTGCTGGGTACATGTCTGCCCATAAATAAACATGGACTGTTCATTGAAACTTGCATTTTTATGTAGAAAAGCTCATGCTACCTTATCACTTTTTGCACAAAAGTTGACACATTATGAATGCTTTAAAAAAAAAATTATACCTTACTCCCATACACTGAACATATCTTTCCTCATCTAAAACTATCCAAGCAGCCAACTTTTTAAAATTAATGGAAGGAGAGGGTCTACAGCATGTATTCTCAATGGGGGCAATGTAGCCCCCTAAGGGAGCCAAAATTGGTTCTGGGTTGGGAGTGGTGAAAAAAGTCTTTAAAAAAATAAATTGCAGAATATACATGCAGCACATAGATTGATATATATATCTGTGATATTAAAATTTCATATGGAGGTAGTTGGGAAAAAATGTCTAAAAAACCTCCTTAGGGTGATATTTGATATGGTTTTGCTGTGTCCCCACCCAACTCTCATCTTGAATTGTAGCTCCCATAATTCCCATGTGTGGTGGGAGGGACCTGGTGGGAGATAATTGAATCATGGGGGTGGTTTCCCCCATACTGTTTTCGTGGTAGTGAATAAGTCTCATGAGATCTGATGGTTTTATAAGGGATTTCTGCTTTCACTTCTCATTTTCCTTCTTGCCTATTGCCATGTAAGATATTCCTTGCTCTTCCACCATGATTGTCAGGCCTCCCCAGCCCTGTAGAACTGTGAGTCAATCAAAACTCTTTTTTCTTTAATAAATTACCCAGTCTCAGATATGTCTTTATTAGCAACATGAGAAGAGACTAATACAATATTGAAAAAAAAAAAGTTGAGAAACACTGATCTATAGTAAAATTTAAATATCCAACTTCTACTATTTTTTTGGCTGTCCATTCCCAGTAGAATACAAGTTCCATGAAGGCAGGGATATTTGTCTTTTTTGTGCACTGATTTCTCCTAAGTGCCTAGAATGGTGCCTGGGATGTAGGAGGTATTCAATCCATACATATTGAATTGAATGCATGAATGAACAACTTCCCTCAGTGTCCCAGAGTCCACTTTCTCTCAACACTGCAAGTGGTGGCAAGCTGGAAGGTTTGTGAGCAGTGCTGGAGCTGGGCTCTTCCAGGTGCATTCACAATAGTTTAAAATAGCAGGTGCATCAGAGGAGGCCTCTTTGTTCCTGGTACTATGCTCATTGATGTTTACTATGAGCCCCTTGCAGACTCAAGCATCCATTGTTTGCCTTTTAAATATCTCTACTAGCCGGGTGCGGTGGCTCACGCCTGTAATCCCAGCACTTTGGGAGGCCGAAGCGGGCGGATCATGAGGTCAGGAGATCGAGACCATCCTGGCCAACATGGTGAAACTCCCTGTCTACTAAAAATACAAAAAATGAGCTGGGAGTGGTGGCACGTGCCTGTAATCCCATCTCCTCAGGAGGCTGAGGCAGAAGAATTGCTTGAACTAGGGCATCAAAAGTTGCAGTGAGCCGAGATAGCACCATTGCATTCCAGCCTGGTGACAGAGAGCGACTCCATCTAAAAAATAAAAAAAAAAAATTTTAAATTTAAAAATCTCTACTCTCCAGGCCAGGTGCAGTGAGTGGCTCCTGCCTATAATCCTAGCACTTTGGGAGGCCGAGGCAGTCAGATTGCTTGAGTTCAGGTGTTTGAGACCAGCCTGGTCGACATGGTGAAACCCCGTCTCTACCAAAAATACAAAAATTAGCTAGACTTGGTGGTATGCACCTGTAGTCCCAGCTATTTGGGAGGCTGAGGCAGGAGAATCTCTTGAACCCAGAAAGTGGAAGTTGCAGTGAGCAAAGATCATGCCACTGCACTCCAGCCTGGACGACAACGAGACTATGTCTCAAAATAATAAAATAAAATAAAATAAAAATCCTCTACTGTCTACTTCCCCCACCCCTAATATCCTAGCTATGTGGCCCAAGTACTTATTTAGCCCAGTCCATGAAAGTAAAGGACAGTGGACAGTGTCCTTTGATAGGAGGATGGGGCAGAATGGGAAAAGAAAATGGTAGGGTCTGGAGGTACAAGTGGGGGCCAGAGAGAGGGGCTTTACAGATTATTCGGGTGTTTGAAAGTCAGTTGGTGTTATCTTTAACATACAAACATGTATTATGAATCTCTGAGCATCCTTCAACGATTCCTGAATTTTCAAAACAGTTGTGTCCAAATGACACACCTTGTCCAGAAACAATTTGGTTTTGATAGAAAAAGAGGCAAAATAAAAACACTGATTTACAGGCTCATGGTGAGGGGTTTGGGGAGGCAGATGAGAAGAGAACCTAGAAAGGATGTCAAGAGCAGACTTAGCTGACCTCACTTTGCTTTGGGCTTGCTTTCCTACAGACATTGACAGTGAGAGTTGTTTTTGCTCACCACACTGGGAATATGTATTGCTTAGGAGACACATGGCAGTTAAGGCAAACAGCACATGCCAACAATATGTTGCATGATTTGATGCCTGTTTTCAGGGAACTTCACTAGGAAGTGTGTGTGTGGGTTTATATAGCCACGTACATACATATACATTTATATATGTTTTATATACTTAGAAATAAATACGGAATTTGTTACAGGAACGTGGCCTTACACAATCATGGGAGCTGGTCTGCCATCTTCATTAAGCCATTGTCTGGTACAGATGCTGGAGTTTGAAGTCTGTAGGATAGGAAATCAGATGTTGTCTCAGTTGGCACCTGCTGCATAATACGGTACCATAGACTAGGTGGCTTAAACAACACACATTTATTCTCTCATACTTCCAGAGGCTGGAAGTCCAAAATCAGTGTCTTGCAGGGTTCGGTTTCTGGTGATTCCCCACTTCCTGGCTGTGGGCAGTGCCCTCTTGTTGTGTGCTCACGTGACCTCTTCTTTGTGCACATGTGGAGAGAACAGGCTCTCCAGTGTCTTCACTTATAAGGACACTCATCCTATCCGATTGAGACCCTACCTTATCATCGCTTAACCTTAATTACTTCTGTAAAGGGCGCTATCTCCAAGGACAGTTATATTGGGATTGGGGCTTTAACATAAGAATTTTGCAGGGACATGAATTGCAGTCCATGACAGATGTAAACTTTGAGAAACAGGAAAAAGCTGGAACCTACAAGCAGAAGTGGGAACCTGTGAGGTTGGACTGAAACTCAGATCAGTTCTTGCTGCCTCTGACCTTGATGTATGTATCCTGGAGGAGATGCTGGCATCTCTCATCATGGAGCTAATTGTAGGACAGGCCCAGAAATGGAAGAAGCTGGAAGAGAGTCTAGTGGAAGGTGGGGCAGCGTGGGCCCAGCTGCTGTTGCCTGCCAAAGAGGTGAGCAGCAGATAAGTGACGAGGTATGTGAGCTCACACACCCAATCCACTGTGGCACTTCTGCCTTCCAGATCCTCCATAAGAAGGTCTCTTTGGCCTACTCTGCTCAGAAATATATAAGGCAGGAGATTCTGAGAAATCTAGTTGAGTCCAGCCACGTTGACATGCTACAAAGCCACCACAGACTCTAAGGAGAAATTATGTCCAGGGTTGGGAGAAGAGAGCCATTAGCTGTACTTGGATGAACAGTTAGTGGCCTAGAAACTGATCTAGAAAGGGATCTCTGTTGATGAAAAAGGACAGTGGTGTAAATAAAGGAAGAGTGATTTGGCGATGGGGTGTTGGTTCAGAGTTAAAGACATGAGAATGACAAAGAAAGGACAAGGGTGGCAATTGAGATAGATGCCTTTATTAAGTATAGGGTATAGAAGTGTAGAATAGAGAAGACAAAGAAAAGCAAAAGAACTGAATAGCTAGAATGTATTAATGCAGGGCATCAGGCATGTGGAGCCAGCTAAAAAGTGAGAGATCAAACAAGATTCTTAGAGCAAGAGAACATCAGTAGGAACTAGCCACATTTATTTCACGGACTCAATGATACTGAGTTTCTACTACTACAGGGTACTGTGTTTGATGCACATAAAAATTATTAACATGTATTCCTGCTTATCATTATTGGAGGCAGGGGTTGTGAAGTCAGCATGGTCCCCACCGCCACGCCCCCACCCCAGGCCAAACTCTAAAGGTATTTACCTGGGTTTTCTTTCGAAAAAGGAAGAGGTCTTATTTTTTTTTTTTATGGGAGCTGAGGGCAGTGGATAAATTTGGAACCAGACAGTTGAAGTATTACCATAAGCATCAGAAAAAGTGAATAGGTTTTTAAAATAATAGGGAATAGAGATAGAAAGCAATCAACAAGGCTTGTTTTAGAATTAAAACTCTACAAAGTAAAAGATGTAGCCTGAATGACCCTTGAAATCACATGTATAATTTATAGCACCTGATTCCCTCCAAGTCATGGTACAGAAAATGTATGTCTCAGCTGTGCCATGCTGGCCAATCTGGTCTAGCCTCAGGCTTGTCACATATGAAGTGGTGATGACATATTTATATCACAGAACAATTGTGAAAAACAACGGCTAATGTAGTTACTCAACAAATGTAGTGTGCACTAACCTTATGCTAGGCACTATTCCCGGCACTAGGGACACAGAAATGAAGAGAGAAACAATGTCCTCATTCTCGTGGAACTTGCAAGGTAGTCAGAAGAGACATTTTATTATTTAATCTCTCACTGTCTAATATCATAGAAATCATACATTCACATTCATCCAGAGAGATAGTTATTATTACCTTTTTCACATGCTGAAACAGAGGTTACTTGTCTGAGACCTCTTGCTATCAAGTGTTAAAGGTGAGACTGAGTCCAGGTCTTATATGACTCCATATGCCCAGCACTCTTCAAACGGCCAAATGCCTCGTCCCACAGAAAATAGAAGCCCACAGTCCTCATATACTATAAAACTTAAATAGAATACATTATCTCATGTGGACAGATGGTTATGACTTTATAAACTAGGAAATCCTATGTAGGCAGATGTTTAGTTGATGAAAAGAAGTGTAAACATGACCCTAATGAATACATGTTCTGCAAGTTATTGGTTGCTATTAATACAGAGATAGTTATGCTGTATTAACGGACAAATAAGGCATATGTAGCAAGCTAAAAAGTGAGAAGTGAAACAAGATTCTTTTTTTTTTTTTTTTTTTTTGGAGACATAGTCTCGCTCTGTCATCCAGGCTGGGGTGCAATGGTGCAATCTCAGCTCACTGTAGCCTCCGCCTCCCAGGTTCCAGTGATTCTCCTGCCTCAGCCTCCTGAGTAGCTGGGATTACAGGTACCTGCCACCATGCCCAGCTAATTTTTGTATTTTTAGTAGAGCTGGGGTTTCTCCATGTTGGCCAGGCTGGTCTTGAACTGCTGACCTCAGGTGATCCGCCTACCTCGGCCTCCCAAAGTGCTGGGATTACAGGAATGAGCCACCATGCCTGGCCTGAAACAATTTTCTTAAGGCAAGAGAAACCACTGGGAACTAGCCACATGTATTTCATGACTTCAAATGATACTGAGTTTCTACTACTAGAGGAATACATGCAATAGAGGAAATAAAAGGGGGTGATGGGATCGAGTGATGGAGGAGAAGATCTCTTTAGACTGGTTGGTGAGGGAAGGCCTCTGTGAGGAGACTATTGAGATATACCTGAGGAATGGGAAGGAGGCAGATCTCTGAAAATCTGGAGGAAGCCCTTTCTAGGAGAAGGAACACACAAGCAAAGGCCCTAAGGCAAGAATGAGCTTGGTGTCCTTGGGGAACAAAATGAAGATCAGAGTGGCTGGAGGTTGCTGAGCAAATGGGACCTGGTTAATTCATGCATCTGGAAAGGTAGAAAGGAGCTAGATCCTGCAAGTCCTTGCAGGCCACAGTAAGGAATCTGAATTTTGTTAATATATAAGACACAAGGTATTGGAAGACACAAAGTCATCGGAAGATTTTAAGCGAGAGTGACAGGCCATTGGTATTTTTTAAAAAATCACTGTGGCTGCTATAAAACTATCACTTATGGAGCAACTGTAGGCTTTTTGCTCTTTTTAAAGATTATTGTGCATTGGATCATTCATGGATGCCAGACTTGAAATGAACAAGATGGGGAATAATGGGGAACTTCTGGAATATCAGTAAAAATAAAGAAGCTGCTAGGATCCTGGCTACAGTGTGAACCCTTGAGTTGTGGCAGCCGTGAGAGATGGATGTGATGGCTGTTTGGTCCTGCGAGTCACTTTTCTCTATCAAATATACTTGACCTTCATGTGACCCTTTCCATCTCTTTGTGACCAAGTACCAAGTGATAAGCGTTAATTAATTTTTGGGTCACTGTGACAGATCATCAGTGTGCTACACTTTTCAGGTAACAGGTTTCCGTGAACCATTTGCAATGCCCAAATTATAAGAAATCCCTTAATATCTGACTCTAACAGAGTTGCAGTTTCCAAGTCTATAGCATCCCACTAACAGAGGGGTTGGAAGACAAGATGGAGCCACAAAGGTAGCAGTGGCAACCCGTCCACCCCTGCTTAATGCTACTCCTGGTTTAAGACATGAGCCCAATTTCTCTTTAGCTGGTAGGATGACAGAAAAAGTTTTAACAGCTTTTTTGAGGCATAATTGATATTAAAAAGGACACATATTTCATGTGTACATTTTGATGAGTTTGGACATATGCAATTACCTGTGAAACTATCATCACAATCCAGGGAATAAACATGCCTGTCACCTCCAGAAGTTTCCTTGTGCCCCCTTGTTGTTTTTGTTTGTTTGTGTGGTAGAACACTTAACATGATATCCACCTTCTTAACAAATTTTTTAAGCGCACAATACAGTATTGTTAATTATAGGGACTGTGTTGTACAACAGATCTGTAGAACTCATTCACCTTTCATAACTGAAACCTTCTACTTGTTCAGTAATAACTCCCTATCTCTCCCTACCCCCAGCCCCTGGCAACCACGATTCTACTCTCTGCTTCTATGGTTTTGACTATTTTACAATCCTCATATAAGTGTGACCATGTAGTATTTGTCCTTCTGTGACTGGCTTATTTCACTTAGCATAGTGTCCTCCAAGCTTATCTATATTGTCACGTATTTCAGAATTTCCTTTTTTAAGGCTGAATAATATTCCACTGTGTGTATAGACTATATTTTCTTTATTCTTTCATCCATCAATGAGACACTTAGGTTGTTTCTATATCTTGACTATTGTGAAGAATGCTGCAATGAACTTGGGCGTGCAAATATCTCTTCAAGATCCTGATTTCAGTTATTTTGGCTATATACCCAGAAGTGGGATCACTGGATCATATGATAGTGCTATTTTTAATGTTTTTAGGAATCTCTGAGATGGTTTGGCTGTGTCCCCACCCAAACCTCATCTTGAATTGTAGCTCCCCTAATTCCCACAAGTAGTGGGAGGGACCCAGTGGGAGATAATTGATTCATGGGGATGGTTTCCCCATACTGTTCTCATGGTAGTGAATAAATATCATGAGATCTGATAGTTTTATAAGAGGTTTTCCCTTTCCCTTGGCTCTCACTCTCTCTTGTCTGCCACCATGTAAGACATGCCTTTTGCCTTCCACCATGATTGTGAGGCACCCCACCCCCAGCCATGTGGAACTGTGTGTCCATTAAACTTCTTTTTCTTTATAAATTACCCAGTCTCAGGTGTGTCTTTATCAGCAGCATGAGAATGGACTAATACAGTAAATTGGCACTGCGAGGGTAGGGAGCTATTGTAAAGATACCTGAAAATGTAAAAGCAACTTTGAAACCAAGTAACAGGGAGAGGCTGGAAGAGTTTGGAGGGCTCAGAAGAAGACAGGAAAATGTGGGAAAGTTTGGAACTTCCTAGAGACTTGTTGAATGGCTTTGACCAAAATGCTGATAGTGATATGAAAAATGAAGTCCAGATTGAGGTGTTCTCAGATGGAGATGAGGAACTTGTTAGGAACTGGAGTAAAAGTGACTCTTGCTATGTTTTAGCAAAGAGACTGGTGGCATTTTGTCCTTGCCCTAGAGATTTGTGGAACTTTGAACTTGAGGGAGATGATTTAGGGTATCTGGCAGAAGAAATTGCTAAGCAGCAAACCATTCAAGATGTGAGTTTGGTGCTGTTAAAAGCATTCAGTTTTGAAAGGGAAACAGAGCATAAAAGTTCAGAAAATTTGCAGCCTGATGACGCAGTAGAAAAACCCATTTTCTGAGGAGAAATTCAAGCCGGCTGCAGAGATTTGCAAAAGTAACAAGGAACCAAATGTTAATCACCAAGGCAATGGGGAAAATGTCTCCAGGGCATGTCAGATAACTTTGCTCCCATTACAGGCCCAGAGGCCTAGGAGGAAAAAATGGCCCCCCCACCTGCTATGTGCAGCTTAGGGACTTGGTGCCCGGCATCCTAGCCATTTTAGCCATGGCTAAAAGGGGCCAAGGTATAGCTGGGGCCATGGCTTCAGAAGGTGCAAGCCCCAAGACTTGGCAGCTTCCACGTGGGCACACAGAAGTTAAGAATTGAGTTTTGGGAACTTCTGCCTAGATTTCAGAGGATATATGGAAACTCCTGGATGTCCAGGCAGAAGCTTTCTGTAGGGGTGGGGCCCTCATGGAGAACCCTTTGCTAGGGCAGTGCAGAAGGAAAATGTGGGATTGAAGCCCCCACACAGAGTCCCCACAGGGGCACTGCCTAGGGAAGTTGTCAGAAGAGGGCCACCATCTTCCAGACCCCAGAATGGTAGATCCACTAACAGCTTGTATCGTATGCCTGGAAAAGCCACAAACACTCAAAGCCAGCCCTGAAAGAAGCTGGGAGGTAGGCTGTACCCTGCAAAGCCACAAGGGTGGGGCTGCCCATAGGAACCCACCTCTTGCATCGGCGTGACCTGAATGTGAGACACAGAGTCAAAGGAGATCATTTTCAAGCTTTAAGATTTCACTGCCCTGCTGGATTTTGGACTTGGATGGGACCTTTAGCCCCCTCATTTTGGCCAATTTCTCCCATTTGGGATGGGTATATCTATCCAACGCCTGTACCCCCATTGTATCTAGGAAGTAACTAACTTGCTTTTGATTTTACAGGCTCATAGGCAGAAGGGACTTACCTTGTCTCAGATGAGACTTTGGACTGTGGACTTTTGAGTTAATCCTGAAATGAGTTAAGACTTTGGGGGACTATAGTGAGGGCATGGTTGGCTTTGAAATGTAAGGACATGAGATTTGGGAGGGGCCGGGGGCAGAATGATATGGTTTGGCTGTGTCCCCACCCAAATCTCATCTTGAATTGTAGCTCCCGTAGTTCCCACATGTTGTGGGAAGGACCTGGTGGGAGATAATTGAATCATGGGGGCAGTTCCTCCATACTGTTCTCATGGTAGTGAATAAGTCTCATGGGATCTAATGGTTTTATATGGGTTTTCTCTTTCACTTGGTTCTCATTCTCTCGTCTGCCACCATGTAAGATGTCCTTTTTGCCTTCCACCGTCATCATGTGGAACTGTGAGTCCATTAAACCTCTTTTTCCTTATAAATTACCCAGTCTTGTGTATGTCTTTATCAGCAGCATGAAAATGGACTAATCCAATCTCCATACTGCTTTCCATAGCAGCTACAACATTTTACATTTTACATTTCCACTAACAGTGTACAAGGGTTCCAGTTTCTTTACATCCTTGCCAGCACTTGTCTTTTTGATAATAGTCATCCTAACAGGTGTGAGGTGATATCTCATTGTATTTTTGATGTGCATTTCTCTCATGATTGGCAATGTTGACCAACTTTTCATATACTTGTTGGCCATTTTTATGTCATTTTTTGAGAAATGCCTGTTCAAGTCATTTGCCCATTTTTAAATTTGTTTATTTTCTTGCCATTGAGTTGTAGTAGGAGTTCCTTATATCTCTTAGGTATTAAACCCTTGTCAGATATGTGGTTTGTGAATATTTTATCCCATTTCATAGGCTGCCTTTTCACTCTGTTGATTGTTTCCTTTGCTGCACAGAGCTTTTTAATTTGATGTAGTCCCACTTGCCTATTTTTGCTTTTGTTGCCTATGTTTTTGGTGTCACATCCAAGAAATCATTGCAGAGACCAATATCATAAAGTTTTGCCCCATGTTTTATTCTAGGAATTTTATAGTTTCAGGTCTTACATTTAAGTCTTTAACTTACTTTGAGTTGATTTTTATATGGTATAAAGTAAGCATTCAATTTCATTCTTTTGCATATAAGTATTCATTTTTTGCAGCATAATTTATCAAGGGACTAACCTTTCTCCATTGTATATTCTTGGCACGCTTGTTGAAGATCAGTTGACTGTATATGCATGAATTTATTGCTCCACTGTCTCTTCTGTTCCATTGATCTATATGTCTGTCTTTACGCCAGTAACATACTATTTTGATTACTCTAGGTTCGTTATATATTTTGAAATCAGGAAGTGTGATGCATCCATTTTTGTTCTTCTTTCTCAAGATTGCTTTGGCTTTTTGGGGTCTTTTGTGGTTCCATGAGAATTTTAGTATTTTTTTTTTCTATTTCTGTAAAAAATGCCCTTGGGATTTTGATGGGGAAAGCATGGAGCCTGTAGATCACTTTGGGTAGTATAGATATTTTAGCAATATTGTCTTCTAGTCCACAAACACAGGGTATCTTTCCATTTTTTATGTTTTCTTTAATTTATTTCATTGATGTTGCCTCAGTTTCAGTGAATAATCTTAAACCTTCTTGGTTAAGTTTATCCTAGGTATTTTATTCTTTTTGCTGCTATTGGAAATAGGACCCCTCCCCTCCCCTCCCCTTCCCTCCCTTCTTTCACTCTGTTGCCCAGGCTGGAGTGCAGTGGCACAATCTCGGCTCACTGCAATCTCCACCTCTCAGGTTCAAGCAATTCTTCTGCCTCAGCCTCCCAAGTAGCTGGGATTATAGGCATGTGCCACCACACTTGCCTAATTTTTGTGTTTTTAGTAGAGACGGGGTTTCACCATGTTGGCCAGGCTGGTCTCAAACTCCTGACCTCAGGTGATCCACCCACCTTGGCCTCCCAAAGTGCTGGCCTCCCAGGTGCAAACTACCACACCTGACCAGGATTGTTTTCTTAATTTCCTTTTCAGATAGTTCAGTCTTAGTACAGGGAAATGCAACTAATTTTTGTATGTTGATTTTGTTTCCTGATATTTCACTGAATTTATTTATTAGTTCTAACAGTTTTTGTGTTGAGTCTTTAGGGTTTACTGCATATAATATCATGTCATCTGCAAACAGAGATATTCTTACTTCTTTCTTTCCTGTTTGGATTTCTTTTTCTTGCCTAATTGCTCGGATTAGGACTTTCAGTAGTATGTTGAAAGTAAGTGGTGACAGTGGGCATCATTATCTTATTCTTGATCTTAGAAGAAAAGCTTTTATTTTTCGTTAGTATAATGTTAACTGCGGGATTGTCATATGTGACCTTTTTTATTTTTATTTATTTTTTTGAGACAGAGTCTCACTCTGTCACCCAGGCTGGAGTGCAGTGGCGTGATCTAGACTTACTGCAGCCTCCGCCTCCCCAGTTCAAGTGATTCTCCTGCCTCAGCCTCCCAAGTAGCTGGGACTATAGGCATGTGCCACCATGCCTGGCTAATTTTTTGTATTTTTAGTAGAGACGGAGTTTCACCATGTTGGCCAGGCTGGTCTCAAACTCCCGACCTCAGGTGATCTGCCCGCCTTGGCCTCCCAAAGTGTTGGGATTACAGGCATGAGCCACCACGCCCAGCCAACTTTTTTATATTGAGGTAAATTCCTTCTATACCTAGTTTGTTGAGAGTTTTATCTTGGAAGGTCAGATGCTTTCTCTGCATCTATTGAGATGATTGTGTGATTTTTGTCCTTCATTCTGTTAATGTATATTATATCAATTGATTTGCATATGTCAAACTATCATCAGATCCCAGAAATAAATCCCACTTGGTCATGGTGTATGGTACTTTTAATGTGCTATGGAATTCTGTTTTCTAGATAGGTGAGACTTTTTACATCTATGTTCATCAGGGATATTCGCCTATAGTTTTCTTTTCTTGTAGTGTCTTTGTTTTGACTTTGGTGTCAAGGTAATACTGGCCTTATAAAATGAGTTTGGAAGTGCTTTCTCTCCTTCAGTTATTTTTTTAAGACTTTGGGAAGGATTGGTGTTTTAAAAAAATATTTGGTAGAATTTGCCAGTGAATCCATAATGGAAATATTGTATATAGGTAATTTAGTAAGTCAAGAATTGTCCCTCAAAAGGTACTAGAAAACTCAGTTCTTACTTTTAAGACTCTTCTAATTATCCTGGTGGAATGGCTTCTGGAATATCACCATAATACTGAAATTTACTCCATAATACTACTGAATGGAAGGGATCCAGTGCTGGAAACTTTACATTTGACCAGGTGCAGCCCTCAATACTAGGACAGTTTGGCTAGGGGGCTACCCCCACAGGTAGCAGGGAAGAAGGCTGCATTGGTTTGACTGGGATGGAAGAAGAATAAGCTAAGTAGTCTGTCAGAGTTTGCCAGGTTAAAGAGGAAAGATGATAGCACAGGCTGGAGGGAGGTCAAAGTCACATTCTGGGGAAACTAGATGTATGTTGACCAGTAGGGGCAAGCCTAGTATGGAATGGTGGGTGACAGTGAACATTGAGGGCCAATGAGATTTAGAGAATGAATTGAGGAGTGAGGCTTAGGGGAAAGAAGGCCGGGCACATTAGAAGGCTCAGAGGTCTAAGAAGCATGAGGAAGATTGTCCTCCAGAGAGCTGTCCCCTTGAAGGAGGTGCGTTGGCATGATCTTGTCATGAATTTCTCACCCTGTCAGAAACATCTTATGTAGATTTTTTAAAGGGCAACAGTTTTCCTGCTCACTCTGAGTACCTGAACCTTGATTCTAAGACTTAGGTAAGGTTCACTTGGCCTGGATGTTTATAAATGCCAGTACCAAGGGGAGTCCTTGAAATGGCATAGAAGATGGCAAAGGGCTCTGCAGAGCCACGAAACCCAAATTTAGAAATGAGAATTACTAACAATGCATATACAACATGTCTACAATAAACTAGAAAGGATGATATAGTTTCTGATAACAGTCTTTGAACTTTCCCTACCTATGAAATGGTATTAACCCTTAATCAGCAGCTCAGGAAATAGTCCACGGTAGATCCTCATCTTTGTATTTCCTTTACTGTCTGGTTACTTACTGAAAAGTGGTAGCTGAGGCCGTATCTCCTAACCTGCATGCTCTCCCTCTCTATTTTCTTTGTCTCCCATGTTCTCCCTACAAAGTTAGCATTCATTCATTCATTCTTATTTTCTTTCTTTCTCTCTCTCTCTCTCTCTCACTCTCTCTCCCCCTCCCCGTTTTCCTGTGGTATTGAAAGCTTATTGTCAGGATGAGCCCCTTATTGCTTGGAACCCAATCTGTGTCCATGAATTGCCCATTTCACAGAATCACGAAAGCCACGCTGCTTCCTGAGCAACACAGCTAAGTGGCATTCCCCACCCCTGCTCTTAGCAAAAGTTCCTCAGGACATTATTGTTGAATTACTCAATGCCTATTATCATAGAACCTCATGTTCACGCTGGGAGGTAGTTACTACTACCTTTTTCAAATGCTGAAACACAGGTTACCTGCCCGATACCTCTCTGCTATCAAATGTCAAAGGTGAAATTCAGCCCAGGTCTTCTGACTCTACATCCAGCATTCTTTATAGAGCTAAATCTCTCTTCCCACAGAAGATAGAAGCCCACAGTTCTCACATACTTACAAAACTTAAATAGAGTACATTATCTCATGTGGACAGGTGGTTATGACTTTATAAACTAAGAAAATCTAGGCAGATGTTTAGTCAATGTCAAGAAGTGTAAACATGACCCTAATTAATGGATTTGCTGAAAGTTATTGGTCTCTCCTTGTCAGAACTGTTGTTTTCCCTGTCACTTCTCAGATTGGATTAGAAAAAATTAAGCATGAAGAAAATTGGCATTTAAAATGTGTTTATTCTTCACTATCAAGACAGATAGAACTTTCCATTCAAAAGAGAATGAAAAGTTCATTTTGGCATGGTGAATCATAAATAAGAAAAACAGAATAGAGAAATCCTAGGACGATCAATCTCTCATAAAATAAAGAAATCGAGATTTTATCGCAAAGAATTCTGCAGCACATAAAGGCCCTTAGGACTGGACTGATCTCCGAGTTCAAGCGTTACACCCAGTATGCTGCATAAACCCTATTCAGTGTTTGGGCTCATTCTCAAGAGGTTGACATCCTTCCCATTTTCATATCACCTCCCTGGTCCACCTTTGCTAGGTCACAGGTTTTTCAGGCACTTTGCATTCTGCCCTCCCTCCTCTCAAAAGACTTCCCGGCATGTTTTCGATAGCTTCACACCTAGCAGATGGCAGTTTTTCTTCTGACCTTCTGCCAGCCCTCTTCCTTCCTCAGCTTCCTTCCTCTCCACAGCTTCCATTTAAGGTATTTTGGAAGTCCCTCGAAATGGGTCCTTGGTGAGTAAACCCCTTTATTGAGTCTCGGACTTTAAGAAGTTCTTGGCTTCATGGGACCCCCTTCTTCTAGTTGACACTTTTGGGGATTGATTTCAAGAATCATCTGTTGCTGATAAGTCAGTGTGGCTTCTATTGCTGCAGAAGCAAGGAAGAAACTAGGCATATAGTGGAAGAAAATGCGCTTAATTAGAAACTGGTCCTCATTAGGGATTCTTAAAGGAAGTGCTCAATTTGCACCTATGTTAGCAGAGCCTCACACGGATTAATTAAAAGCTGCTACTCTCACCAGCAACACCCTTCATGGCTGGGTTGAATTGTTTGTAGCTGTCAACTCTGTGCCAAGGGCAACAAGGTTTGAATCTGAGTTCTTTGAAATGCAGGTTCTTTCACTCACTATGCAGAATCTAGGGATCCAGACTCTCAAGAGGCAAAGCTCTGGAAGAACAGGTGGAGTGAGTATCCCTCTGGCTTCTGCTCCCGCCAGATGATCACCATGCCTCTCAACTCTACACTCTTTTCCCTGCCTGTGCTCCAGTTCACACTCTCCACATCCCTGGGGCCAGGCTATACCTAGATCCTTCTGCTTGATCTCTCAGGCTCCGATGTTTCAACTCGTCATTCCCTAGGCTATTAACTTCAAGCCCTTAGATGGCATTCAAGCTCCTTGGTGACCTCTCTGCGTCCGTCTCCATCCCCATCTGCTTCCGTGAGCTTCATAGGCAAGCCACTCTCCATAGTTATATGTCCCTCAAATACCCAGCATCCCCATGCCATCATTTCAACCAGACTGTCCTTTTTCTTTTCCCACCTAAGGAAATTCTATTAGTTCTTCATGGCTGGGTTCAAATCCACCTCCTTCACTCTCCAGGAAGACTACATTATTCTTTTCCTAACACTCCTGAAGTGCTTGTCCTCTACAGCATTGCTGCACATATTTTGTTCTGTTCTTTATTACACTAGTCCATATGGCTTTACTCCCTGCTGAATTTAAACTCTTCAAGGGCTTGATCTCTGTCTTATTCATCTCTGTAACCTCACAGTACCTAATCAAGTTCTTTGAACAAAGCCAGTGTTGAAAAGTGTTTGTTGAATTGAGAACAGCAAGCCAGACTTTCTGATGGGCTAGAAAGATATACCTAGAAAGATAGAGCAGAGTAGCATTTCTAAAGATGGAAAGGACAAGCCTGGCTAAAATCATGCTCAAAGAAAGGTTTTCTTTTAGGGTCCTCATCACATCACAATAGCAAATTTTTAAAAAAAGAAAGGGCCGAGCACGTCAGTATAGTTACCGAGCGTACTTGTGTACTGGGCAAAGTACTGAGCGCAATAGAAAGTTACTAAAAGAAAGAACAGATGCTTTTTCTCCTTTAGAGCTGGTCCCTTTTCAAAATAAGGCCTCAAAGTGCATCCCATTATTAACCCTGAAATAGTGGGACACAAACGTCCAGATAGATATGTGCATGCCAATACGTGTTTAAAAATCTGGCGTCACACAGCACACTCCAGAGGAAGCCAAGCCTAAGAGACATGAACACAGTAACACGGTAGGGAGCCGTGTGATCCAGACTGTCCTAAGCAGAAGAGGCCCCGGGTGGAGAATTCTCACACTGACAGCCGCAGAGCCTGCCTTCCCCAGTGTACTGGTTTTCCCAGGGCATCAAACATTTTATTTAATAAGCTACATGTTTGAGTCACAAGCGTAGACTTGACACCCCTGTATGGTCAACTCCAGCTGTCGTTTGTTCTCCTCCCCTCTCTTCTGGCACAGTGGCTGGAACCTGTATCTGGTGTATCACAACGCTCCATTTCGCTGATCACACACAGCCAGAAGTGACAGTCGCTTCTCTCACTGCCAAGGACAGAGGAGACTCTGGCTGGACAGGAGAAATTCAGGTCGAACCAAGGCAAGTGAACGATGGAATTAAAAACGGCTGAGAAATCCCATAGACTTAGAATTACTCATATCTGCAGACTAGAGGGAAATGAGTTGGTCCTGATGACAAAACAACCCTTTCTTTTCTCTAGTCTGTTAAACTTCTATTTTCCCGTCAGACTGTTTTAACAATGCCCTCTACTGGGTATTTTCAAAACTGCAGGGTTCTGCAGGCCTGACCTGCTCTTGTTCTCCTTGAGTAATTCTTTCTGCAAGATGAACTGAACCCAAAGTTTTCTTCACATAAGCAAGATGTTACTGATGTATAGTTTCTTAAGAGCATAAAAAGTGGACCAGTGCATCCCCTGGAAGGAGGGCCTCTTGCCCTCTTGAGAGATTTCTTTGTAAAGGTGCATGAGGAATTGAAATCTCACCACCTCCTGAACTGGCCCAGAGCTGTCCTGGCATGGATGACACAGGGACCTTGACATGGGCTGATGGATTAAGAACAATGTTACATTTTCTGAACGCATCACTTTTCCAACAGCTCTTGATCTCACATGTGAGGCTCTTTCTCATCCCTGAAGGCTACTGACTTTTCCCTGGATATATTTGTATTGTGATTATTCTGCATATCTAAGAATTTCATCCCTTTCTAACCGCTCCTCTGCCAAAACAGAAACCAAAAAAAGCCAAAACATCACTCTGTGCTAGTTAGTTTCTTTGACCCCTCTTAAAGAAACTCTAAACAAAAAATCTGCGTCCAGTTATATCCAAGGGGGTGTTCTTACTGGGTATTCCCGTCAGAACCTCCCATCTGTCTATTTTGGTTCATTCTTTGCCATTATCATGTAACAAGTTCAAGATAATTGTGTTTCATCTCCAGTTATTATTCATAGTCCCTCTGCATGTTGAAGATTGCTGAGACAGCACAGAAAAATAGTAAAGCAACAGATGAGGTCTGTTTGCAAAAAATGTAGAACAATTCGAGGTGCAGGATGTTCTTCAAATTGTGATGGGGTGAGGTTTTGAAAAGTTCTTCGGATGGGCTAGTGTTTGTTTTCTCTCTCCCTCTCCCTCTCTTCCCCCCTCCCCTTTCCGCTTTCCCACTTCCTCTCTCCTCCTTCCTTCCTCCCCATCCATTTCTCTTAAATAGAAACAAAATTCCATATATTCTTAGAATCCATAGGATCCATATATTCTTAGAATCCATAGGATCCAGCATTGCATTTTATTTAAAAGCAAATGCCGACCAAGTAGTCAGTAGCACCCTTTCAGCTCCAATAGTTGGTGCTATATTCTGTACTCAGCAGTAGACTCATTTCATTATTTTGGAGTATGGACCTGAAGAAAATGAATATCAGACATGGGCTAAGCCAAGGCCAGTTAATAAATATTTTAGGCTTTGCAAACCGTATAGTCTCTGTAGCAACTATTCAACTCTGCTCTTATAGCACCAAAGTAGCCACAAATAATAGTAAACAAATGGGCATGGCTCTGTTCTAGTAAACTTACTTGTGGAAACGGGACAGGCTGAATTTGGCCCACAGACCCTCGTTTGCCAATCCCTGGGCTAAGCTATTGCAGGGGTACTGCTGATGGATATGCGGGCTGTGTCCTGTGTGACAGTGCCTAGCCAAGGGGGCAAGTGGGACCTGAAATACAACCCATGCTCTGCTTCTCCACGCCTTCCACCACAAGAGGTCCTTTTTGTAATTCAGACAGAGGTACCATTTGTTCACAGGCTGTCTCCAACCAGAATAAGCACATTTCCTAATGGATTAGGGTACTTAACATGGTTTGCATAAGTGGGAGGAAGAGGGACCTGATTTTCCTGTATTAGGATAAGGGTTACCTTTGATCCCAATGGCTGTTATTGAAATGACTAAAGCCACATGGTTCAAACATGGCTGCCTTAGCCCACATCTACAGACTGGGAGTAGGTGGTGGGAGCAATTCCAACAGAGATGTAGACTGGGAAAGTGCCCCAGGTAAGAGGAACCCCAAAGAAGGTGAGTTTATTGGTTAGGGGGCTTGTTGGATATTATTACCAAAGCCATAGTCCCTTTATGAAGTTTGTTCTGTCCAAAAATGTGATTTAGGCCACTGTATGAGTCCATTCTCACATTGCTGTAAAGAAATACCTAATGCTGGGTAATTTATAAAGAAACGAGGTTTAATTGGGCTCATGTTGCTGGAGGCTGTGCAGGAAGCATGGTGGCATCTGCTTGGCTTCTGGGGAGGCCTTGGGAAAACTTAGAATGGTGGCTGAAGGTGAAAGGAGGAGCAGCACTTCACATGGCCAGGGCAGGAGGGAGGGAGAGAGGGGAGCTATCACACACTGTTAAAGAACCAGATCTCGTGAGAACTCTATCATGAGAACAGCACCAAAGGGGTGGTGCTAAACCGTTCACGAAGGATCCACCACTATGATCCAATCACCTCTTACCAGGCCCTATCTCCAACATGGGGGATTACAACTAAAATGAGATTTGGGTGGGGACACATATCCAAACCATAGCAGCCACCACTCTCCATCTTAGAATGGTAGAATAATAAAATTAGGAGGAAACTTGGTATGCTTTTGCATGCATTTTAACATCAGAACCCTTTGTTCAGGCCGGGCGCGGTGGCTCACGCCTGTAATCCCAGCACTTTGGGAGGCCGAGGCGGGCGGATCACGAGGTCAGGAGATCGAGACCATCCCGGCTAAAACGGTGAAACCCCGTCTCTACTAAAAATACAAAAAATTAGCCGGGCGTAGTGGCGGGCGCCTGTAGTCCCAGCTACTTGGGAGGCTGAGGCAGGAGAATGGCGTGAACCCGGGAGGCGGAGCTTGCAGTGAGCCGAGATCCCGCCACTGCACTCCAGCCTGGGCGACAGAGCGAGACTCCGTCTCAAAAAAAAAAAAAAAAGAACCCTTTGTTCAAATAAAATCTTATCTAGAACTCCAGTATACGCAACTGTGAAAAAGGGAGAGTGCTCTGGTGCAGCTGGAGAGGAAAGACAAGGAGTGCCCTCAGTAACCCCCTCCCCAGATCCGGCTGGCCCAGAGAGAGCTGCTGAGACTCCCCCAGGACCCAGTTTGGAGCCACTGATCTCATCACTGCATAGGAGGGAGAGAGAGAGGGGAGATATGAAACAACGGAGGCAAAATGAAATAAAATAATCTTAGGTGACAACATTTTTTACCAGGTTTTGTTGGTATAAAACACCCTTTCCTTTTCAGTTCCCCTACCTGAAAGTCTTTGGTTGCTTATATATATTTAGGATGTTTTTATATAGGGTAATATAGAATTGTAAGGCTTAATATAATATTAATATTTGACATTCTATTGGATTTAAGCAGCCAGTGGGAAGAGAGTAAATAAAAATAACTACACAAAGGAAACTGCTATTAGCGTTTGTTACCATGTGAATGAAATAGCACATCAGCTGTGCATTTAAAGATCTGGATAGAAGTTTGTTTCAGTTATTTGTTTGTTTTGAGGTACATTTACATACAGTGAAATACATAGCTTTTAAGTACACAGTTTGATCTGTGTTGACTATACTTACGTAACCCACAGCTCTACCAAAATCAACAACATTTCCATCATGCGGGAAAGTTCTCTTATTCCCCTTCCCAATAAATCTTTCCCACCCAGAAGCAATCACAGATGTGATGTCTATCACCACACTTGGTTCTATTCTAGGACTTTGTATAAATGGAATCATACCATATGTACTCTTTTGTGTCTACTTTGTTTCACTTAGCATAATATTTTTGAGATTTATCCATGTTGCAGCATATGGCCATACCTTTTTCCTTTTTATGCCTGAGTAGTGTTCCATTGTGTGAATGAATATGCCAGTTTATCCATTCTCCTGTTTATGGACACTTGGAATGTCTAAAAGCTGCCATGAAAAGCCTTGTTCAAGGCTTTTTGTGGACATATATTCTCATTTCTCTAGGATAAATGCCTAGGAGTAGAATTGCTGAGTGATAAGAGTGATGCATATCTTTTAAGAAAAAAACTATCAGAGTTTTCACAATTATCCATTTTACACATCCATGCAATATATGAGCATTCTGATTGTTCCACATCCTTGCCAACACTTAATATTATCAGCCTTTAAAATTTCAGCTATTCTATTTGGTGTGTTTCTCATGTAGTTTTAATTTGCATTTCTCTGTAATAATGTTGATTGCCTTTTCTAAGTGCTTATTGGCTATTCACCTATCTTTTGTCAAATGTCTATTCAGATGTTTGCCCTTTAAAAAATTGTGTTGTCTTTTTATTGTTAAATTGTAGGAGTTCTTTGTAAGATACAGGTCTGGGAAATATTTTCTCCCAATCTGTAGTTTGCTTATTTTATTGAGATTGTCTTTTGATAATGAGTTTTAAATTTTGCAGTTAAATTTATGGATATTTTTCTCTTATGGTTATTGCGTTCTGTGTTTGAAGGAATCTTGCCTTCCTCAAAGTCACAAAGATTTATCTTATATTTTCTTCTAGAATATTTATACTTTTAAGTTATACATTTATGTCTATGATTCATCTTGAGTTAATTTTTATATACAATATGTGGTAAGATTCAAAGTTCTTTTCTTTTTCCACATGGCTATCTAGTCATTCCAGCTCAATTTCTTGAAAAGATGTTTCTTTTTCAATTGAATTGCTTTGATATCTTTGTTGAAATTGATTTGGCCATATATATGTAGGGCTACTTTTGGGCTTTCAGTTTTATTTCATTGTTCTGTTTCTATTTTATTTCACTAAAACCACACTCTTGATTTGTATGTTTATAGTTAATCATGAAATTAGATAGAGTAAGTCCTTCAACTTTGTTCTTCTATTTCAAGAATGTTTGGGCTATTCTAGGTCCTTTGCATTTCTGTATAAATTTTAGAATCAGCTTATCGATTTCTACAAAACGTCTTCAGAAATTTTAATTGAGATCTATTAAGTCATTAGATAAACTTGAAAAGAACCAACATCTTAAGAATATTGAGTTTTCTAATCCTTAAACATGGTATATATTATTATTATTATTATTTTTTTTTTATACTTTAAGTTTTAGGGTACATGTGCACATTGTGCAGGTTAGTTACATATGTATACATGTGCCATGCTGGTGCGCTGCACCCACTAACTCGTCATCTAGCCTTAGGTATATCTCCCAATGCTATCCCTCCCCCCTCCCCCCACCCCACCACAGTCCCCAGAGTGTGGTATTCCCCTTCATGTGTCCAGGTGATCTCATTGTTCAATTCCCACCTATGAGTGAGAATATACGGTGTTTGGTTTTTTGTTCTTGCGATAGTTTACTGAGAATGATGATTTCCAGGGACATGGATGAAATTGGAAATCATCATTCTCGGTATATATTATTTATTTAGATCTTCTTTAATTTCTCTCAACAGTATTTTGAGGTTTTCAGTATATATCTCACATACCTTTCATTAAAATTATTCCTAAGTACTTTCTGTTTTGGGAAGCTATTTTAAATAGTATTTTAACATGTTACATTGATGAATTCTTTATGTAGAAGGTTTTTTTTTGAAGATTATAGAATTTTATGTATCTACCAGGTTTGCTAATTTGTTTTAGTTTATTTATATCTTTGATTAATTATAGCCTTGTAAAATATTACTTAATATTACATACTGGTCATTTCCTGTTCTGTCTTGCAGATGATTTTATAGCTGACATCGGTCAAGAACTACATTATGGTGGGATAAAATTTTAATTTACTAGAGTATTATAGTGAGGGAAGTTTTTTCTTTCTTATGGAGAGTTTTTATTATGAATGCTTTTTAAAATGCTTTTTCTGCATCTATTTAGATGGCCATTTGGTTTTTCTCCTTTTAATCTATTAATATGTTGAATTATATTGACTAATTTTAGGATGTTAAACAGCCTTTCATTCCAGGGTTAAACTTCACTTGGCCGTGATATATTATTATTATTATGTATGTGTGGATACATTTGAGTTTTTAATGTTTTGCTAATGATTTTTGTGTTTGTGTTAATGAGAGATATTGTCATTAATGTTCTTTTTTTTTTTTTTTTTTTTTTTTCCCCCCCTCTGAGACAGAGTCTCGCTCTGTCGCCCAGGCTGGAGTGCAATGGTGCCATCTCAGCTCACTGCAAGCTCCGCCTCCCGGGTTCACCCCATTCTCCTGCCTCAGCCTCCCGAGTAGCTGGGACTACAGGCACCCACCATGACATCCGGCTAATTTTTTTGTATTTTTAGTAGAGACGGGGTTTCACCGTGTTAGCCAGGATGGTCTCCATCTCCTGACCTCGTGGTCCACCCGCCTCGGCCTCCCAGAGTGCTGGGATTACAGGCGTGAGCCACTGTGCCTGGCCCTAATGTTTTTATAACTTGCTTGTTTCAGTGTCTGGGCAACACTGGCCTTTTAAATAATTGGAAATGTTCTCTCCTCTGTTTCTCAGAGAATTTGTGGAGGATTTTACTATTTTCTTTCTCAAACATTTAGTAGAATTTGCCAGGGAACCTCTCCAGGTTGGGAGAGTTCTTTGTGGGAAGTTTGTATTTATGAGTGAAATTTCTTTAATTGACACAGGGCTATTCAATTTTTCTATTTCTTCTTGGGTAATTTTGTTCTTTTCAGTCTTTGAAGGAATTTGTTCATTTCCTGTAAGTTGTTAAATTTATTGGCATAAATTTGTTCATACAATTTCCATATTACCTTTTATTGTGTCTTTGTAGGTTTTTATGGTAGCATCTTTATAGAGATATAACTCACATATAACACAGTTTACCATTTGATGTATACAATCCAGTGTTTTTAAAGAGATTTAGCTATACAGCTAATTTTAGAACATTTTTATCACCCTAACAAGAAATCGTGGTGCCATACCAGTCCTTCCCACCCTATTTACCCAGCCTTAGGCTACCACTCCTCTCTTTTCAGTCTTTGTAGATTTGCCTATTCCAGACTTTTTATATAAATGAGATAATATAATAAGTGGTCTTTTGAGACTGGCTTCTGTCACTTAGAATAATGTTTTTAAGGTTTACTATGCTGCTGTTAACATTCATGTACAAATGTTTGTGTGAACACACATTTTTATTTCTCTTGGGAATATACCTAGGGGAAGAATTTCTGGATCATAACGTAACTCTATATTTAAGCTTCTGAGGAACTGATGGACTGTTTTCCAAAATAACTGCACCATTTTAGACTTTCACCAGCAGTGCAGGAGGATTTCAATTTCTCTGCATCCTTGCTAACACTTGGTGTCATCTATCTTTTTTATTACAGCCATCCTAGTGGGTGTGAAGTAGAAACTCATTTTGCTTTGGATTTGCATTTCCCTGATGGCTAATGATGTTGAGCATCTTCCCATGTGCTTGATGGCCATGTGTATGTATCTTTCTTGGGGAAATATCCATTCAGCCTTGTTATCCTTTAATGACTGTAGAATCTATAGCAATATCCCTTCTCACTTTCCTGATATCAGTAATCTTCATTTCTCTCGTTTTTTTCTTAATGAGTCTAAATAGGAGTTTATAAATTTTATTAGCTCTTTAAAGTGCCGACTTTTGGTTTTATCATTTTTCTCTTTTGTTTGTTAATTTTATATTTCATTTCTCCTTTTTACTACTTCATTCTTTTACTTACCCTGAGTTTAATTTGCTCCTCAGATTATTTAGATCAAGGATCTAAATTTCTACCTTAAGAAACTAGCTTTTTCTAGCATATGATCTATCCTAGTCAACATACCATGTGAACTTGAAAAGATCGATGTATTGATAGTAGCTTTTACTTTTTCTCTATCTTTTTTTTTTCTGATACTATTGATTGCTTAGAAGAACTGCTTTAACATAGATTTCCAAACTCTATACCCATAAAACTGGAATAGGTTACACTATACCCAATTTATAGATAAAAAAATGAAACTTGAGGCTCAGAAAGGTGAAATAGATTGCTGGTCTGAAACTTACCTAGAGATGAAAGTTAGGTAGACTCCACTGCTTAGGTTGGAAGAATATGCAGACAGGAAACCAGTGGGAAGGGGACAGTACAATGTACCTGCAGACCTGATTATTCCAGTATAGCAAAAGCATTCTGTCTCAGCCTGTCACACTTTGATAAGATATATTTGGGGGAATATCATGAGTTTTTGGCTTATTTGTTAAACACCTGGATTTTTATGGTCTAACTTTAGTTGTTGACTAAGCAAAGTATTTGTTGACTAATGTGACTGAGTTGTGAAACGTCTCGAAATGGCATTTCAATTGTCAGTGAAGGGGGTGGCATAGACATATGATTCCTTCATATCCACTCAACTGAGTCTGGCGTCTCCTTGAATGCAGGCATGCGGAATGTCCATGTGCCTGGCATCTTGGCGGTGGTCAGTAAATGTTTGTCAAAAGGAGCTGAAGTGTATACCGTTTCTTTGACTTCTTCTGTGAGTCAAGCACCAGGTTCATCTGAGTGAAAAAATGCAATGTGGATGAGACTGTGATGTGTCCTGTACACTGAAAGAGATCTTGATCGTTACTAAATGGGTATTAAATGAGGCAGTGTGGCCATGACAGAAATATGCAAGAATAAAAGAAGTGTTGTAGTTCGCAGAACTTTAGAGGGGGAAAATATGATTTATTTATTACTTGTGGAATCTCTTGATTTGATACACTGGTGGAACATAGCATTATAGTCAAAGCAGCAGTGATAGCTTGGCTTGTGTGAAAACAAGGTAGGATTTGTAATACCATCTGATATTCTTCTCCGAGTTTCAGATTCAGAAAGAACAGTATCAACATGTACCGAGCAGGGGAAACAATATAGGAAAGATATAAAAGAAAATATGCAATCCTTGACCAATGTAAATAAATGGGAACTTTTGATTTATTTGTCATGTACTCAGATTGATGGGTTTCGTAGTGAAGTAAATGTGTGTGCATCCCTGGTTCAGGAGAGAGTGTTTTGTGTATCATTCTAGACTACTCCAGACTGACATTTCAAAGCAACGTATCATCAGTGAAGTATGTATTTATCGTTAGCTCTTGAAGGATTTTTTTTTTTAGTTGATAGAGTCATGTCTTAGTTTCTCAATGTGGAGAAGCTAAAACTGTGATCCTGTTTCTCATTTTCTCTCTCACCACATAGGAAACTATCCTGGTCAGAAGCTACCCCTTGGTTGTATCAGTTTGCTAGGGCTGTCACAACGAAGTACCACAAACTGAGTCACCTAAACAGAAATTTGCAATCTCAGTTCTGGAGGCCAAAAGTTCAAGACTGGGATATTGGCAGTGTTGGCTCCTACCAAGAGCTGCCAAGAAGAATCTGTGCCACACCTCTTCCTTAGCATATGTTGTTGGCTGACAAGCTTTGGCATTCCTTGGCTTGTAGAAGCATCTCTCCCACCTCTGCCCTCATCTTCACGTGGTGTTCTACCTGTTGTATGTCTCCAAGTCCACTCACACTGGATTAGGGACCCACACTACTCCAGGACAACCTTAATTAATTACATTTGCAGAAGCCCTACTTCAAATAAGGTCACATTTTGAAGCACTGGGGGTGGGGACTTCAATATATGAATTTTGGGGGACATGATAACATGCTGCTTATAGGTGGAAAATAATTTCTACATATTTATTAATAAGGAACCTCTAAGATGAACAGATTTGGAAATCTAGTTTATCTTCAGTTTGTTCTAAGCATCTGTGTGACCTGGAATAAATTACTTCATTATCCCAACCTCAGCTTCTTCATCTGCAAGGTGGAAGAGGTGATACTTGCTCTCCTATGTTATAGAGTCGTAGTCAATTATAACAATAGCTGCTGCCATTTATTGAGTGGTAATAAGAGCCGGCACTATCACAAGAGTGGACACCTTTTACAGGCTAGGAAACAGTGGCACAAAGAAGTAAAGTAATTTGCCCATAGCCAATTAAGTGGCGGAGCCAAGATTCGAACCCAAGAAGAATGGCTACAGTGCCAACTCTTTCAACCAGGGAACCAGGAGAGCATCACTATATAAATTCTGTGTAAAGTGCAAGACACAATGCAAAAGTTCGTTGTCACTAAAAGGAGAACTCAGGGCAAAGTCTTGTCCTTCCCACTTCTAATTCTTTTTTTCCTACTCCAGTGTTTATCAAACTTTTCCCCCTTTTAGAATACTTATTGGAAACCCATACAAAACTCATATCTCCTCTGATGTTTTTGAAATTTCAGAACCTGCATCATTATTGAAGTAAATCCAAGCAATCAGAATTTGAAAATCTAGCTTTCCAAACGGCCTCAGAGGCCCCCAACACACACATACACATACACACACACACACACACACACACGGACACATAACACACAGTGTGTTAACTCAGTCCTTCCTGCCTTCAGTTTCTGTGGTACAGCCATGATATGGCTTGGCTGTCCCCAGCCAGATCTCATCTTGAATTGTAGCTCCCATAATTCCCACATGTGGTGGGAGGGACCCAGTGGGAGGTAATTGAATCATGGGGGTGGATTTTTCCCATGCTGTTCTCGTGATAGTGAATAAGTCTCACAAGATCCGATGGTTTTAGAAAGGGCTGTTCCCCTGTACGTGCTCTCTTCCCTGCCGCCATGTAAGACATGCCTTTGCTCCTCCTTTGCCTTCTGCCATGATTGTGAGGGCTCCCCAGCTATGTGGAACAGTGAGTCCATTAAACCTCTTTTTATGTCTTTATTAGCAGCATGAGAACAGACTAATACAAGCCATAAAAGGCCAAGATCATCATTCCTTTACCTACATTCTTTTTTTGTTATTTGCCCTTGCTTTTCATCATGCACCACATCATTTATGTAACTAAAAATACCAACTTCCAGGCCAGGTGTGGTGGCTCACGCTTGTAATCCCAGCACTTTGGGAGGCGGATGCGGGTGGGTCACCTGAGGTCAGGAGTTCAAGACCAGCCTGGCCAACATGGTGAAACCCCATCTCTACTAAAAATACAGAAATTAGCCAGGAGTGATGGCATGTGCCTATAATCCCAGCTACTCAGGAGGCTGAGGCAGGAGAATTGCTTGAACCCAGGAGGTGGAGGTTGCAGTGAGCTGAGATTGTGCCATTGCACTCCAGCCTGGGCAAGAGTGAGACTCTGTCTCAAAGCAAAACAAAAACAAACAAACAAATGAAAAACCAGCTTCCCTTAGATTCCCCCATGAGTTTCTGACTCCACTACCTAATTCAATAAAGGCATTTTTAAGAAATATAAATCATATTTATTCATGGTTATATGTACATGATACAAAACATTTCACAGCAGAAATGGACTCTTTTTTACCCCATCCTCAATCAACTAATTTCCTTCCCTATAAAAATCTATTATTTGTTTTGTGTTGTGTGTTTCAGCCAGAGATACTCTATGCATGATGCAAACATATTAGCATCCATATGCTACTTTCATCTAAAAAGTAGCATACTCTCCACAGTATTCTAAACCTCTTCTTTCACCTATTAAGATATCATTTCTCTATTGTAAGACTTAAAATTTAATGTAGTGCCTTTGAGCCCAAAAGTCTTGAGTTTCCCTACTTCTACCAGATATTCCCCCCAACCTTCCCAAAGAGAAAGGCTCCCTACTTAAATGGTTCCTCTATCATCTGGGCCTGCTGGGCCGTACCCATTCCTCAACCTAACAGGTTTCACCTCCCGGCCAGCCCATGACATTAGTCACATCCTCCTGTAGGAACCTGAGGACACCTCTCCCCCTTGTTACTACATAGCCGGCCTCCCACAGCCCTTGTGGTTTGCTCTGCTGTGGACTGTAGCCCCTGTATGGTGAACAGTGTCCTCCTCCCCCAGGCTGCAAGTGTATGTGACTAGTAAACCACGATCTGTCTCTTTTAAGTGGTGTGGGGTGTTGTTTGTCTGACCTTCTCATATTATTTAGGGCAGAGGATCCACCTTTACCAACTGGGTGAATAGGAGGTGATTAGAACTAGTCCATATTACCACATAGAGCAATCCTTTGCTTTTCCTAATAAGTGCACAGAACTCTATAGTATGAATAGGAACCAATTTACTTATCTTGTTCCCTGTTGGTAGACACTGGGTTTTTACTCTTTGGTTCCACAGCAATGCTCTAGTGAATTTTCTATTCCACATTTTGCATCTGAAGTCATCTTGCATCTGAAGGAGTAAATTATTACAAGTAAAGTATGGGTCAAATGCTATGCACATTAAATTTTAATAAACATTGGCCAGGCGCAGTGGCTCACACCTGTAATTCCAGCACTTTGGGAGGCCAAGGCGGGAGTGGATCACCTGAGGTCAGGAGTTCGAGACCAGCCTGACCAATATGGTAAAACCCCATCTCTATTAAAAATACAAAAATTAGCTGGGCGTGGTGGCATGTGTCTGTGGTCCCAGGCTACTCGGGAGGTTGAGACAGGAGAACTGCTTGAACCCAGGAGGTAGAGGTTGCCATGAGTTGAGATCGTGAAACTGCACTCCAGGCTGGGCACAGAGCGAGATTCTGTCTCAAAAAAATAAAATAAAAAAATTAATAAACATTGCCAATTGCTTTTCATAGAATGTGTACCAATTTAGACCCCCACAGGCAGCTGGACAGTCTATTTCCCCACATCCTCATCAACCCAGGACATTACCAAACTTTCTGATCTTGGCCAAGGGGAGAGGTGAAAAATGTCAAGTCCTTGTGGTTTTAGTTTACAGTTTTACAAGAAGTGAGGGCAAGTGTCTTTTCATATGCTTACAAGTCATTTGTATTTCTGGCCTTTCTCTTATTGACTCGAGGAAGCTTTTCCTTTATTGAATAAATTACCACTTTTTCTATGATATGAAGTTGAAATATCACTTATCATTTGTCTTTGTTTATAGTAGGTTTTGCTGCCTAGATTTGTATTTTATGTTATCACATTTACCTTCTTTTGTGGATTCTAGTGTTGGGGTTACATATAGATGCATCTTCTCCAGTCTGTGTAGGAGAATCTCATTTTATTGTGCGTTCTTTGTTGTGATTCACAGATATCACATTTTTTTACAAATTGAAGGTTTATGGCAACTCTCCATTGAGCAAGTCTATCAGTGCCATTTTCCCAAAAGCATGTGTTTACTCCATATCTGTGTGTCATATTTTGGTAATTCTCAAAATATTTCAAACTTTGTCATTATCATTTTTTCTTTTATGGTGATCTGTGATCAGTGTTGTTTATGTTGCTATTATAATTGCTTTGGGGCACCATGAACCACACCTGTATAAGATGGAGAACTTAATAAATGTTGTATGTGTACTGACTGTTCCACCAACTGGCCATTGCACATCTCTCTCCCTCTCTTCAGGCTTCTTTATTCCCTGAGACACAGCAATATTGAAATTAGACCAATTCATAACCCTACAATGGCTTCTAAGTGTTCAAGTGAAAGGAAGAGTCATACATCTCTCACTTTAAGTTAAAAGCTAGAAATGACTAAGCTTGGTGAGGAAAGCATGTCAAAAGCTGAGACAGGCCAAAAGCTAGACCTCTTGGGCAAAATAATTAGCCAAGTTGTGAATGCAAAGGAAAAGTTATTGAAGAAAATTGAAAGTGCTACTCCAGTGAAAACAGGAATGATAAGAAAGCAAAACAGCCTTATCGCTGATATGGAGAAAATTTTAAAAGGTCAATGCCTGGCTTCAAAAGACAGGCTGACTCTCTTGTTAGGGGATAGTGCAGCTGGTGAAGCCAATGCTCATTTACCATTCCAAAAATCATACAGCCTCTAAGAATGACGCTAAATCTACTCTGCCTGTGCCCTAAAAATGGAACAACGAAGCCCAGATCTGTTTACAGAAGGATTTATTGAATATTTTAAGACCACTGTTGAGACCTACTGCTCAAAAACAAAGATTCCTCTCAAAATATTGATGCTCACTGACAATGCACCTCATCACACAAGAGCCTTATGAAGATGTACAAGAATGTGTAATACAAGGCATGTTGTTTTCATGCCTGCTAACACAATATCCATTCTATAGCCCTGGAGCAAAGAGTAATTTTGATTTCCAAGTCTTATTATTTAAGAAATATACTTTGTGAGGCTATAGCTCCCATAGATAAGGATTCCTCTTGGATCTGAGCAAAGTAAATTGAAACACTCCTGGAAAGGATTAACAGTTCCAGATGCCATTAAGAACAGTTTTGATTTCTGGGAGGAGGCCAAAATTTCAACATTAACTGTAGTTTAGAAGCAATTGATTCCAACCTTCATGGATGACTTTGGAGGGGTTCAAGACTTCAGTGGAGGAAGTCACTGCAAATGAGGTGGAAATAGCAAAAGAACTAGAATTAGAAGCAGAGCCTGAAGATGTGACTGAACTGCTGTGATCTCATGATAAAATTTAAACAAATGAAAAGTTGTTCCTTATGGATGAGTAAAGAAAGTGGTTTCTTGAGATGGAATATGCTCCTGGTGAAAATGCTATGAACATTGTTGAAATGACAACAAAGTATTTAGAATATTACATAAAGTTAGTTGATAAGGCAGCAGCAGGGTTTGAGAGATTGATTCCAATTTTGAAAGAATTTTTGTGTGCATGTGGAGGTAAAATGCTACCAAACAGCATTGCATGCTACAGAGACTTATTTCATGAAAGGAAGAATCAGTTAATGTAGCAAACATCATTGTGGTCTTATTTTAAGAAATTGTCACAGCCACCCCAACCTTCAGCAACCATTATCCTCATCAGTCAGCAGCCATCAACATCAAGGCAAAACCTCCCACCAGCAAAAAGATTACAACTTGCTGAAGGCTCAGATGATCCTTAGCATTTTTAGCCATAAAGTATTTTAAAATAAGGTATATACATTGTTTTTTAGACATAATGCTATTGCACACTCAATCAACTACAGTATAAACATAATTTTATATGTGCTGGGAAACCAAAAAATTCATGTGACTTGCTTTATTTTGATATTTGCTTTATTGTGGTGGTCTGAAACTGAATGCACAGTATTTCTGAGGTATGCCTATAGTTGCATTAAAAAAAATTCTCCTGATGTTATTGTCAAGATTTTAATGGCTTCACTTTTACATTTAAATATTTGATTCATCTGGAATCTATGCTGATATAAGGTATGAGATAAAGATCTATAATTTGTTTTTACAGTTGATTATTTGACAATAATTCTTTTTTCCATTAACATACAATGTCATATTTATCAAATACTGAGAGACTGTTTCTGATCTGTGTTCTGTTCCATGGATCTGTCTCTTCATGCACAAAAATGAGAATGTTTTAATTATTATATATTTAAAATGTTTTAATATTGATTATTATGTATATTTGTCTTTTCCTTATTCTTGTTTATTTTGTTTTCCAAATGAACTTTAAAATCATCTTGCCTATGACTCCATGAAAAAATTATATTGCTGTTTTTGGATTCTTGAAAATTCATATACTAAAGTAAGAAGAATTGAATCTTTAAAATGACAAATTTTCCAATCAAAGACTGTGACATGCATGTTATTTCTTTAAAGGTCTTCATGCCCTGATAGTGTTTTAGAGTTTAGTTTATATAGCTCTTCCACATGTCTCATTACATTTATTCCTAGGTATTTAAATAGTAGTCTTTCCTTCCTTTGAGACTTTCTGACTAGTGGTAATTTACAAATATTAAGGCTGCTGATTTCTAGATATGAGCTTCCCCCAGCCATCTAATTAAATGTTTTATTATTCTAATTTTCCAGGTGTACAGTGATATCATCTTTAAATATGATGATTTTACTTCCCTTGCTTCAATTTTTGTAGTCCTTACGTCTTTCTCTTGTTTATTTTGGGTTGGCCTTCAGAACGATGCTGAGTAAAGGATAAAGGATGTCTTCATCTTATTCTTGATTTTAACAAAAATGCTTCTGTAGTTCCCCTACCGCAAATATTGAGTATCCATGATGTTCTAGGCACCAGGATGTAGCAAATACAACTGTCCTTCAGGACTCAACTCAAATCCACCTTCTTCCAAAGCCCCCTGTGATCATCTCAAACAGAAATTGTCTTTGCCTCCTCCAAACTTCATATTTTCCTTCCCTTTACTGTCCTACTTTTTATCTTGCTTTAGAATTATCAGTATACTTGTCTTAAATAGTCCACTAAAAATCGGTATGCTCAGAGAAGGCAGGATCTTTGACAAATCATCTAGTCATCCTCAGAACTCTGCCTTGCCCACAGCAAATGCTCAACACAGTCCTGCTTAATTAATTATAAATTAGTTAGTATGAAAATTTGTTCAAATATATTTGAGCAAATACTAAGTAAGCATCTGCTCAGATAAAAATGCAGGATTCTCATACAGAGCACTTGGCCATGAGTAATAAATGTAAGTCCGGCTCTCAAAATATACATGTATTCCTATTTGGCACTAGCCAAAAGGGGGTGCAATATTTACCTTTAAATTATTATAGAGAGAATGAGCTAGAAAGGAAAAAGCCAGTTGGAGCCAGAAAGCTTGGAGTCTTTGAACCTCCCTCAGTTCTCTAAATCTAGATGAAATGATATGAATCATCAAGTCATTTCATGCCTTTTACACTTCACTTTAGGATCTTTTTCTCTAAAAAGCCTCTCTCAACAGGGATAATAGGGTGAGTGGCCTTAGTATCAGTGTTTGGTTTCTTTGCGATGTGTAATTGGTTTTAGCTAGTGTGGAATGTCCTCTTGATTTTAAATTCCTATTTTTAGCTCCTCTGTATATTGTGTTATGTGTTCACTGTTGCTCCCCACACCCCTCCTTGCAAGTCTATACAGAAGCATTTCATGTGGAACCGGAGCTGTTCTAGGGAAGCCTGTCATCAAGGCTGCCCTTTGCTCTGCACCTCCCCAGCACCCTCAGAGGTCAGAGCGAGGCTGGTGTACAGGGCAGTGGATGTGAGAGCTTGAATTTCTTGCCACCTTGTTACAAGCCAAAGTAGGAAGAAAGTGTATCCAGACCAGGAAACATGATTTGTAATCGTGGTTGCAAATCTAGCACCCTAAACCTAGCACACCATTTGGCACATACTCGGCTCTTAAATGTCCATTTAATGCATGAATGACTAAGCAGATAAGTGAGTGAGTGGATACATATGTGTCTTATTGGGAGACGGCTCATGAACTGACATTCACCATGGGCTTTTCTAAGTTTTTCAGTGGGATCAATGTTGGTAGTTTGTATATTTGCACTTGGTTTAGAAAACTTTCCTTTACCTAATCCTCAGGCGATACTGTGAACTTTGGGTTGCTTACTTGATAAATATAGTTTTATTATTAATTCATGCATTTGAAATAACACATGCATTGAAAGCAGCAGCAAATCCTTTTAAGCTCTGTGCTCTTTTAAATAGGTTCTTTCTCTCATGCTCAGGAAAAAATTCAGTGGAGATGATGGCAACAGACTGGTCCCTCAAATCTCTGGCCATAGCCCAAGGAGGAGAGAACCCACAATTGCAGGCCATATGTATTGCCCTGTATGATCAGTATTAAACTCAAAGTATGTCTTTGTAACTAGAGACATATTCTGGGTAGTGTGGCTGTTAGTTTGTCCCAATCTTTATTTTAAGGCACTATCCACATCTCTTTCTCTTTTCCTTTGCCCCTAACATTGATATCAACTGAGTTTTCAGGGTGCCAGCTGCCCATGTCAGCTCTTTGAGAGAGCAGCCTCTCTCCTCCTTCTGCCTCTCAATCCTTTCCTCTCCGCCAGCTCTTCTCGGCATGTTGGTCATTCATTATTGATGACCCTCCAGCACCTTCTCCACCCCGGTGTTCCCATAGCCCTGTGCACTGCTGAGCAGAGCCAGGTGCAGGATCTAGTCGGGGTCCAGGACTGCTGCTCCAAGGCCGCCAAGACTCTTTCCCTTCCTGGCTGTCAGAGAGGATGCCTGGCACTAGAGATACAGCAGCAGCGGCGTCAGCCGCTGGTCTTGAGGAGGGTTTGTTTCTCTCCTCTGTCTTCTAGGAAGCAAAAGGTTAAACTGTTCATTTTAAGAGCCTCCCTGGGTATAAAATACTGAGCTTTGTCTTTCTGGAGTGAGCCGATTCCTAGGCCCCTTGACCTTTGCTCCAACATGTCTGCTGCCCATCCCTTAGAGTGTTTTTCTTTGCTTTCTATTTAGTCAGAAGGAATGAGGCTAGTGTCTGCCGTTAGCTTAATTATTGGGGAAAAGCGTTGGAAGAAAAGAAACTGATTCTCTCCATTTTTCTAATTGTTACTTAACCAAGTCTTGACAAGATACAATTTGGTGGCTAATATGCATGGAGTGCCCTTTCTGAAAGCAGAGGCTCTGCTTGTGGATTCTGCAGTGAAGGCTGGAGTCACACCTTGGAAATGACTGTCCACCTTCACATTTGCACACATCACTTACACACATGGAGCTCCTTCCACCACCAGCCTCCCCTGAGCCTTCATAAGACACAGGCTGCTGCTTTAAGGAACATTAACAATCCAGACCCTTCCAGGGACCCATGTGACTCCAGCTTCTCCCACAATAGTCAGAAATCGTAATTGAGAGTTCAGAATTCATAGGTACCAGGATAATATTGCAGAAAGATAATCAGGCACCTACTTCCCAGTTCCCTGAAATTAAAACAGGTATTCATCTTGTCAGAATAAGAAAACAGGGTCCTGCTGTGTTCCAGCCACCTGGCAACCTTGTTCTTAGAATACAGAAAGGGAGGGAAGCAATGTGTGCGATCACTCTAGCCGAAGAATGTAGAGAGAAGCGAAGACCATTTTTTTAGTCCTAATTTCCTACAAGGGACAATGCACCTAAAGTTTTTCAAGCCTTGCTCAGAATCATCTCACAAAAGGAAAGGCCCTTTGCTTCACAAAATATTTTAATGAAAGCAAAACAGTGACTAAGAGCCTCATGTACTGCTGGTTCTGCCTGTTTCAAATCTTGAAAGGCCTTTAATAACCTCCATTATGTGACTATGTGATTTTTATCACACAATCTCAGATTCTTACATTTTTTAAATAACTCACCAGCAAGAACCAATGTCAGAACTAAATGCTAATAAGATTTGGCCTGGGAGAGTAACATAGTAAGATTGTTAATGTTTAATGCACTCTCATCAAAGTGGGATAATCCTACGGCTGAAGGTTAAGTGAGCCTTTTGTAAAAAAAAAAAATAATAGGGAAGAAAACATTATTGTAGCTTTTCCATTTTACTCAGTCAAATGAATTCAACATAAACTTGTTATAGCCAAGCCCAGGCTAGACATTTCCTGGTGATCTGGTAATTTCCCTTGTATTGTTCATGTGGTTTGTCTCTTTCCTCTTCCTCTTTGTTTCTAATGATGATGATGAACAGCATCTCTGCAATAGGCCACATTCTCAAAGTGCTCCATTCATTGTCACTTGAAAAGACCACTGTTGGGTTTTATTGCCATCATTGATATACAAGGATAATTTACATACAAAATTGTGGTTTGGTTTTAGAGCCATGGCAACCAGAGTATCACTTCTGATGGGAAAAGGAAGAATGGCCTTCAGTGATGGAGTAGGCAATTGCAAAGAGTTCTGCTCCCAGTTCTCTTGCTAAATCAAAAGATTGCAAGGGTCAAGATCGATTTCTTCATTTTCTTTAGGCAGCAATCTGAAGAGGCCCCAGCAGAAAACTCCAGCCTTAGGATTTCTGGTAATCAGAAAAAGAAGCAACTGTTCTTGGGTAACATGTGGTGCCCATAAAAGGGCATCAGCTCTTGGGGGCAGCCTGAGGTTACCAGGTTCACCTTTGCTCATTCTGCGCAAGGATCGCTCCCCTCAGAGTTTCTGCAGGGGAATGTGTACTCTGGTGTTCGGTATTAAAGCTTCTACATGAATTTATAGAGTTGCTTACATTGGCTGAGAAATTGTTTTTTTTTTTTTTTTTTGGTACTCAGCCCTAATTTTCCCTGGCAAATATTGCTCTGTAACTTTGAGATGAATGTACCCATCAAAAACTCCAGAAGAAATTCTCATGCAGTTCTATTATTGCTCATCATTTTGCCAAGGAACGTTAGTAAAGAGAGCTATGAAGTGGCTAAAGAAGTTGTGTTTTTTGTTTGTGTGTTTGTTTTTCCTTTTCATCGTTTTATGTCTTAGTAGGAGAAGAATCCAAGATGAAAAGGACAGGCTCTGGTTTTAGCTTTGCCACTAATTTCGTGTGTTTCCTTATGCAAGTGTCCAGATCTTCTTGGGAATTAATTTCTTTATTTGTCAAAGGGAGCTAATAATACCTGCCCTGGCCAACCTGTAACATAGTTATGCGTAGGAGTAAAATCACAGATGTGAAAGTTTGCAAAATTCTAAGATCCTTAGGTAGCTCATGCGTCGACAGGAGTAATGAATTATACACCTACCGCAAAAGGTGATTGTGGGGATCCAGTGTCAAAGGGCTTAGAAGAGAGTGTGACACATAAGTAGCATTTGGGGATGGTAGCTGGAAGACCAAGCAGCAAGGGTGTTACCATCAAATCCCTTCCATAACCCCTCTCCCATACAAAGCAAAGGGGTCTAAATAGCCCCAGTGCTCACTTCAATGCTACTCATATTCTTTGGCTTTGGAGACTTTGCTTTTTTGGAGCCCCTCATTCCTACTTTCCAGACATTTGCAGAATTCAGCTGTGCTTTCTAAGAGATTCTCTGGCATTAACACAGAATGACCTTGCAGTGGGAATGACCTTGGAGCTGCAGCGACTTGAGTTTAAATTCTAGCTCTGCCCCTTACTAGCTGGGTGGGATTGATTCCAGGTAACTGTCAGTACCTTGTGTCTCAACATCTTCAGTTGGGGATAGCGTCCTACCATCTCCCTCATAGAGGAGTTAACGAGTTGAAATGACACAGATGCTACAGTCAGGAGATGCTACGTAATTTTCTGGGCCCAGTGCAAAATGAAAATTCAGGGCCCCTTGTTCAAGCATATTAAGCACTTCAAGATGGCAACAGCAGAGCATGAAACCAAGGTCTAGGTCTTCTGAGCTCAGGGTCTTGTGCAACTGCATAGGTCACATGCCCTTGAAGCCCACCCTGGCCACTGATCCCATAGTGGCAGCTTGCCACTTAGTGGGCACTCAGTAGAGACCGCTTGCTTTTCTTTCTTCCTCTTTCTCTCTTCTTCTCTTGATAGCCTTAAATCCCTGGGAGGGGGGGCTTGCATTTACTCTTACACTTCCTGCCACAGTTTCTCCCCTTATGATCGTTCCTTCTGCTGGTTAAATTGCCGCTTCTCTTTTGCCCCTGAAATCAGGGAGCCAAGTGATTAAGAGAAGCTAGCTTATCTACACGAGCCTCCCATCTCTATGTCTGTATTTCCCAAGTTCTTTCAAAGATAACCCAATAAAATAAAGAACTAACAGCATCATGATACATACAAAGGGGCTATGGTGTATGTGTGGCAGGCTGGGGAGTAAGGATGGAGAAGGTATTTTGAGGCAAAGAAGAAAGAACAAAGGAAAATGAAGGTATTAGAAGATAAAAGCTTGCACTTCACAGAAGATATTATTTTGCTGCCATGTATCTAAGCACAATTGAGGCAGATTAGTTGTAAAATCACCTCATTTACTTTTCCCAGCTTTTTTCAGCCACTTTCACTAAATCAACCAACCAAACCTTTTCTGTGCCCTTATGTCCCTTGTCTCTGAACTTCATCAACTAAATATTTGTTATGCATTATTTTATTCAGCATTCACAGTATCTGTGGGTTTGGGTATGCTACTTCTTTCTTCATTTTATAGAGAAGGAGATGATAGAGTAACCGTCCATAGTTACTGTGTTCATTGGAAATGTTTTGTCTCCAAGTAGCAGAAAGCCCAACTTACAGTGTCTGTGTTCGGGGTTGGAAGTTGGGGAGAGGTTCCTCCTAATGAGATGCTTGGAGGCAGACCACCGCCTCAGGGGTTAGACAGCTCACTGACATCCTGGCTCCTGTCTGCTGCTCTCTTGGCTTTTCCCTCATAATCACAAGATGGCTGCTGTGGGTCCAGGCATCACAACATGGTCAGGAGAAGAAGAAATGAGGGAAGAAACAGTATCCAGCCTATTGTTGTCTTTTCTTGGGAAAGTTACACTTTCTCAGGCATCCACTGGCTTACAGACTTCTACTTATGTCTCATTGGCCAGAACTGTGGGAGTTTCTAGCTATAGAAATGGCGGAGAAGGTGAGTGTTTAGCTTTTCCCGCCTTTTTCCTGGTTGGGGGAGACAGCTCTAGAGTGAAGCACACAACAGTATATACTTTATAGTGACAAAGATAGCAAGGGGCAAAGACAGAACCTGAACCCAGGTCCTCTAATCTTGAGTTTAGAGATTTTGCCATTCTGCCACATTGCTCTTCTTTTAAAAATACTTTCAGCAACATCCAGCTTGTCCACTTCCTGCTGAGACAAGCCAACAGGTATAACTCCAAGTTATGGAAATTTAAAACAGGAAATATGTTTATACTATGCCTTCCCTTAAGGTTCCTGAGAGAGAACTTTCTACAAGTTATGTAAAACAGAGATAATGTGGCTTATAGAAAATTTATTCCTCACATGATAAATTCTGTGCATGTGAAGTTTCGTAGAACTCACTGTAGCGCATTTAGAAACACACGACCAGAAATTGTGTGAAACATTGCTTTGGGATGGATGGTGCCCGTCTGACCTTAAGCTATCCTTCCCCCACTCTGCTGCTCTTCAAACCACAGCCAGTTTATTTTTTGGTAGAAACTATTTACGTATGAAGATCGTATTTGGATGCCTTTAGTAATTTATTAAACTCACTTTCCTAAAGCAAGATCAGAGTTTAAAACATATGTAAATATCAGCTGAGAGATTAGAAACAAAAGCCAAGAAGGAATTTCTCCACTGCAATTACCACATGCAGTTACCATGGCAGGGAAGCTGTGCGGGATAATTCAGTCCAAGGTAGAGAAATAACAGAGTCTGGAAATGTAAATATGTTTCTGTTAGAGATACTTGAAATAACGTTTACACTGGCTTCTTCCTTTTTAGCTATGGGATATTGTGCAAAACTTTTTTGTTGTGTTTTCTTTAAATGCTCCGGGCAGTAAATTGGAAGTATATAGCACCTGCTACATGTTTAGTCAGTAGTCGAAACATTGAATAAATCATGAAATCTGTAGGTGAACTGAATAATAGCTGCCCTGGAGAGAACTGTAATTCACTGTTGACAAAATAAATCCCCCTGCATTTTTCTGGGGAATCTTTTATTTTTAGCAAGAGTGTTTGATACTCCTAAGTTAATTAGTAGTTTTAACAGAGTGGAATGTTATTGAACCTACCAGTGTTGTTTAAGAGCTAATGTTTATGTGCCAGGCGCCAGATTAGGTAATTTTATAAGCATAGATCATTACATTCTCGCCCAGCCCTGTAGGGTTCCTAGCTCTGCTTTTCCAGATGAAGAGCCAAGACCCTTAGAGGTTGTAACTAGTCCAGAGCCACATGGGCTAGGAAGAAAGGAAGACCTTTCACCACTTATTTACACAAGTAAGTTCTTCCCAGGCAGTGTGGCAGACTCAGCAGATTGGCCCACTTAACTCTTGTTCCACCCCCACTCTATCTTGTCTACTTCTACCACAGAGGCCAGAAACCACAAATCCCCAGCCTCCTGTGGCTTGGCTTGGGGTAGCCCAAATACACAGTTCTGTCCAACCATGCATAGGCAGAATTCCCTGGGGAACATTTCTCTCTCCCCAAGTAGGTAAAGCTTCTTTGCCCTTTACCGTTTGTTGTTCCTTTTCTTCCTTCATGGAAAGAAGAGTCACTTTCAAGACATGCAGCAACCACCCTCTAACAATCAGAAGGAAATACATGGTTAAGATTGTTGAAACAAGAAGTAAAAGAAGTCAAGTTGCTTGACGATATTCTCTTTTGTCTTTTTATTTTTTTTATTTTTTAAATTATACTTTAAGTTCTAGGGTACATGTGCACAATGTGCAGGTTTGTTACATATGTATACATGTGCCATGTTGGTTTGCTGCACCCATTAATTCATCATTTACATTAGGTATTTCTCCTAATGCTATCCCTCCCCCATGCACCCACCCCACAACAGGCCCCAGTGTGTGATGTTCCCCACCCTGTGTCCAAGTGTTCTCATCATTCGTGTCCCACCTATGAGTGAGAACATGCGGTGTTTGGTTTTCTGTCCTTGTGATAGTTTGCTGAGAATGATGGTTTCCAGCTTCATCCATGTCCCTACAAACGGCATGAACTCATCCTTTTTTATGGCTGCATAGTATTCCATGGTGTATATGTGCCACATTTTCTTAATCCAGTCTATCATTGATGGACATTTGGGTTGGTTCCATGAGCTTGATGATATTCTCAAATAGATTCCCTAGCCCTAGGCTGCCTGCCATTGCATTCCTTATTACACAAGAATAATCATCTCTTATTGTATTCCAATCATTGATTGGCATTATTTTTTTTCTGCATAGCAAAATACATGGCCAAATCAGTAAACCTGAACTTCTCAAAGTGGCCATCTGGTAGCTACTAGCTTATAAACTGTTCCCTAGGTATAGAGAATTGAAAGCAGGTGAAGTGTGTGTGTGTGTGTGTGTGTGTGTGTGTGTGTGTGTGTATTTCACATATCACTCAGGTCAATGTTCCTTTGAAAATGGAGAATGCAACTCTATTAAGATAATAGTGTAAATTTGGTAACTGATCACTTACAGCAATTACAACAAAAGATGCAAAAGTCAGGCAGAACTGGGTTCTAATGCTGGCTGTAGCACTGGTTGGTTATGTGACCTTGAGCTCATTAGTTAGCCTTGCACACATTTCCTCATATATGATTGAGGATAAGAGTAGTTTTATCTCATAGAGATTTGAGGGGCATTTGGCACAGGATCAGGCACAAAGTAAGCACTCAGTGGTATTGCTGCCAATAATAATAACAATAATAATAATAATAGAATTATTTAAGACTTGCAGATTGAGGGAATTTGATGAAATATATAACAACTGAGGTTAAAGTGTTCTAATTTTCTGTCTAGATTCATCTTTTATGGTCCCTTTTTAATCTCACACCAGTGTCCTTCCAGAATTAAAAGGTCAATGATTTTACTTCCTAGAGAAGCTTCCTTAGGGGCTTATGAATGGTGAAAATGTGCACGTTTGCCTCGACTCTCTATTTCCATTGTCGAAGGCCTTCGCAAATTTACCTAGTGATTCTAGCCAAGTGCTTCCTGACATTCTTAGGGGCTCGAAGGTCAATACTTGATTTGGATTTTTTGTTGTTGTTTCTTTTTCCCTCCAGCCTCCTGTGTTGTGTTGATTTGTAAAATGGCCATTGTAAATGTTAAAATGGAAAGAAAACCGAGTCTGTTATAAGCTTTGATGTAGTAAAAACAGCATGGAGCATCTTAAATTTTAAGATGTCATCAGAAAAGAAGCTCTTCCCAGTTTCCTCTTGAAAATCATTGTATTAGTCAGGGTTCTCTAGAGGGACAGAACTAATAGGACAGATATATATAGAAAGGGGAGGTTATTAAGTAGTATTAACTTACACGATTACAAGGTCCCACAATAGGCTGTCTGCAAGCTGAGGGGCAAGGAAGCCAGTCCAAGTCCCAAACGATTTTATTTGACAAAAGACAAAAACAGAAGTTATTTACAATAGTTTTTGCTCAAATAATTCAGTGGGGGCAACTGTACTTTTCCTCCAGGTTTATCTTATAACCAAACCCAAGCAGAGGCTGCCCCACCCCAACACCCCATTTTACACAGCTGGGAATGCCAACCAGAATTCAGCAGCGTGGCTCCCTCACCCCTCACCACCCTCTATTGCTCAGTGTACAGTGGGGAGGGAAAGATCCCACCTCAGCCCAAGAACTTGGAGCTGAAGAACTTGGAATCTGATATTCAAGGGCAGGAAGCATCCAGCACAGTAGAAAGATGTAAGGTGGGAGGCTCAGCCAGTCTAGCCTTTTCACATTTTTCTCCCTGGTTTACATGCTGGCCATGCTGGCAGCTGATTTGATGGTGCCCACCCAGATTAAGGATGGGTCTGCCTTTCCCAGCTCACTGACTTGAACGTTAATCTCCTTTGGCCACACCCTCACAGACACACCCAAGATCAATAATTTGCACCCTCCAATCCAATCAAGTTGACACTCAGTATTAGCCCTCACAATCATAAAACAGAAAAATGAGTGAAAAGCATAAATTTTGCTTTCAAAAAGCTGGGAGATTCTATATCCATGAACCACAATATATGACGTAAGGCTGGCCAAATGCAGTGGAACGAAAGCTCAGGAAGGGCTAAGAGACAATCACTATGATCAGGTTATAGATTTTGACAAAGCAAGCAAAAAACACGTCTCCAAAACTGGTACTTCAGAGCAGGCATACCCTAAAGGATGACGCCAATAAGCCTTTGTTTGGAAAATGGCAAGGGTATTGCAAGACTGGAAGTAGAAAACCTCCCTGGACCCTACCTGCTACCATGTAGTAGCAAATGAAACTGAAAGGGAAATGCACAGTCATCCTGTGTGTATAGGAAGCAGTCCATTGTTGTGGCACTACGGCAGCCTGTTGGCCGAGAAGAAGCAGTGGCTAAAATAACTCATCAGCACACAACCCTTTGTAATAAGACTTAACAGTAAATCAGGTAAATTTTTACCAACTCACAACATCCTGACTCCTATCCCACAAAACTGTCCTCTAAATATCTGAATCAAGAAGTTTCCACATTCAGAGGAAAGTAACAATAAAAAGGAACCAGCACAGGATATTGTAATATGCCATACATGACACTACAAAGATATTATAATATAAAAGGAGAAAAAACTGGAAAATAGATGGTAAATGCAGAACACTCACTATAGGTGATTCCAACAGACAAATCAAAAGATAACATTACCATGATCTTGACGACTTAAAGAAACCACCAAAGAGCTCAAAACAGAAATAAAGAGGTCAGGGGTAATATGGTGACGTGAGAAGAGAAGAAACATACACTGATGTAGCTCTCCAGAGAACTGAAGGGGGAAATTTTTTTTTTTTTTTTTGAGACGGAGTCTCGCCCTGTTGCCCAGGCTGGAGTGCAGTGACGTGATCTCGGCTCACTGCAACCTCCACCTCCCGGGTTCACGCCATTCTCCTGCCTCAGCCTCCCAAGTAGCTGGGACTACAGGGGCACCCACCACCATGCCCGGCTAATTTTTTTGTATTTTTTAGTAGAGATGGGGTTTTACTATGGTCTCGATCTCCTGACCTCATGATCTGCCTGCCTCAGCCTCCCAAAGTTCTGGGATTACAGGCGTGAGCCACCGCACCCGGCCTGAAGGGGGAAAATCATCACAGATATGAAGATGATTTTGAAGCAGCCAAAGTAAAATAGACACTAGACACTGCCGAACATAGAATAGAGGATATGATGGGCAGGATTATCAAAGCAAACAAAACGGAAACAACAGCTTAAAAGTATTAGAAAGAAAATAGTATATTTGGGTGACGAGGAAGATCCCAGAGATACATCACAATATATCCCTGAAGAAGAGAATTAAACAAATGAAACATAAACAAAGATATAATTCTACGTAACTTTCAATAAATAAAAGATTTGAATTTATAGATTGAAGGAGTCTACTATGTTACAGAAAATTTGCTAAAGAACAATCAATACTACTCTGTATTATAGATGTATTGATAGATCTTGGAGATAAGAATGATTTGGTCACACCAGCAGGAATATCAAGTAACCTATACAAGACCACAGTTTAAAAAAAACCTCAGGCTAACCTAAGCCTTCCTTACAGCAACATTCCAAGATTGCAGAGAGTAATGCCCATGAAGCCCTCAGTGAAAAAGTATGTGGCCTTAGAGTTTTATGCACAGCCAAACTGTCATTCAAATGTAAAAACAATAAATAAAACGTGTCCAACATTTAAGAACCCAGAGAAGATGATTCCCATGAGTTATTCTTTAAAAAACTATTGGCTGGGCGTGGTGGCTAACACCTGTAATCCCAACACTTTGGGAGACTGAGGCAGGTGGATCACGAGGTCGGGAGATCGAGACCATCCTGGCTAACATGGTGAAACCACATCTCTACCAAAAAAATTAAAAATTAGCTGGGCGTGGTGGCGGGCACCTGTAGTCCCAGCTACTTGGGAGGCTGAGGCAGGAGAATGGCGTGAACCCGAGAGGCAGAGCTTGCAGTGAGCAGAGATCACACCACTACACTCCAGCCTGGGCAATAGAGCAAGACTCTGTCTCAAAAAAATAAATAAAATTAAAAAATAAAAAATAAAAAACTATTAAAGACTTTATCTAAGAGATGAATGAAGAAACCATGGCAAAAGGATTTTCAGTGAACACTGAGTCTGTTTTGCTTTTAGACTGGGTCTAAATAAGTGCAGAAACTTTTGTTATAGAAAAAAAAAACTAAGCTCTGAATGTTCATAAATATTTTAACTAATATAAGGATAAGGTGGAAGGTGGTATGTAGATTCATTCATCATCTCATTTAAACATGATAAATCAAGTATATTTAAATATACTTAGCATACTTACTAAAGTATATTAGTAAATTAATATATTTACTGAAGTATATTAGTAAATTAATATATTTACTAAATATACTAAGTATATTTAAATATACAAAAATAAGTGTAGGAATGAACATATATGTTAGTTTGAAATATATATGTAATATATAAGGTACATGTTTAATATGTAAACATATAATATATATTAAACCAATGTTTAGTGCCTATTAACCAAATTCAAGTGATAGAAGGAAGAGAAAATAAAGAACAATTTGTATTGCTTTTAGTGGAAAGTAAAATGTCAGTGTTTCAAGAAACAGAGAAGTTAAATAGCTAAATAAGGGTTAGTTACAAAGGTGATCACTGGAAAAATTAACCATAATACAAACCTGCCCAAATAGCACAAGGAATACTCACAAAAAGAAAATATAGACCAAAGAGTAGAAGATTTTTTTAAAAAAGCAATAGAAACAGAAATCAAAATACTATAAAGTAAGACCAAACCTGTTTCTCATATCAACAAATAAAAGTGGGCTAAACTCCCATATTAAAAAAAAAGATTCTGAAATCGAGTAATAAAGTAAAACTTAACCATATGCTATACCCCATATATACCTAAAGCAAAGTGTCTCGCAAACTTGAAAATAGAAGGATGAGCAAAGGAATATTATCAAATGCCAACAAAAAGGAAAGTAGAGGCCAATAATCTTAGAATAAAACAAGGTTGAATTTAGAACAAAAAGCATTAAACAAGAAACATAAAGACAATTGTGTGATAAGATGTATCATTCACAAGGAAGATCTAATAGTCATTAAGTGTTTCTGTATCAACGTAGCCTGAAAAGTTAAGCAAAAACTACCAAAAAGATAAGGAAAAATAGAAAGACTTTAATTATAGGAGGCTTAACAGACAAAATAGACCCAAAAGATGACATAGATGGCCTAAATAACATAAGTAAGTAGTAAAGTTACATATATCAATCTATCCCTGAAAACTAAAAATATGTCATCCTTTCAGATGTCCATAAAACGTTTCCCAGAACTGACTATACTTTAGACCACACAGAAAACCTAAATAAACTCCCCAAATCAGAAATCACACTGATATTGTCCTCTAATCACTATGAGTCAAAAAGGAATCCATGTGAATGTATAGAATATTTAAAATTAATGATAATGATTATAACCACATTACATATCCTATGGGCTCAACTAAAGCATTTGCTCAAAAGAAAATTTGTATACGTAAGTACTTAAATTAATGAACAAAAAATAAAGGAAATCAGTGCATATGTCTTCTACTCACGAAATTAAATATAAGAAAAATAAAGTTAACCTCAGGAAAATATAAGGTAGCTATGATAATAAAAGCAGAAAATAGGAAAAAAGAATAAATCTTTAAGTTAGCTCTTTATGAAAAATCAATAAATCATTAGTAAACAAACCAAAATGGTTGCCAATAAGTTATTTTCTAGGAAAATATAAAATTACCAGGCATGACCCCAGATGGAGAGAAAACAACAATCTAAGGAAATGAATTAGTATAGAAGAAATACAGAATGTGGAGAAAAAGCAAACCTCTTGAAAGAAAACACCAGTCCTGGAATATTTCACAGATTACTTCTACCAAACCTATAAGGAAAAAATAGGTCCAATATTATTTAAACCAAGTGAAAGCATCCAGGTTATTTTTCTGAAGCTAGCATGCATCATGCATATTCTGATAAATAGAGCACACAAAAAAGCAAACTAAGGACCAATATTGCTTATGAATATCAGTGTAAATAATCCTAATTAAAATATTAGAAAACAAATCTAAGAGCTCACAAAGACAAGAATTTGCTATGTTCAAATGGGATTTAGTCTTAAAAAAGTAAGACTATTTCAAAATTCACAACTGTATTAATTTAATTCATAAAATATTGTCAAAATTAAGAATCACTTTATCATCTCCATAAATACTTGAACAGGTGTTTGATAAAATTCTCTAATCTTGATGAAAAACTCATAATAAAATGCTATTTTATTATACAGACAGAGACATACACACATACATATACCAATACATACTTAGTAACATGGTCCCAAAGCTACTGATACAACTGCTGAAGAAAGTGTCATTAATGTCGGCTACAAGGAAAGATACCTTAATCAATAGCATTAATTAACATTATTGCTCCAGAGAGCCTAGCTAGCCTAAGTAAACAAAAGAAAAAAATAAGCAGAGTAATTTTAACCAGGAGTTAAAATTATCATATATGCAGATGATATGATTATGTACTGTAAAACACAAAGAATCACATGGAAAAAATAGTATAAACAATAAGGAAATACACTTAGGTGATTGAGTACAAAAATACTACTCATGTTAATCTTTCCACAAACAGAAACTGGTTAGAAAATATAACTGAAGAGATCCCATTTACAATAAGAATAAATTTAACAAGAAATGTGCCCAAATTACACAAATAAAATTTTTAAATGCTACTGAGAAACATGAAAAATGACTTAAACAAATGGAAAGGCATACTCTGTTTAACATAAAGATGTCTTATCTAAATTAAGTTATACAGGTAATGCAATGCAATAAAAAAAAAAACAATAGAATCTACAGGGGTAGATTCTAAAGTTCAAGAACAAATAAGGAAGCCCAACCCAAAAGTTTCTGACAAAGGAAAATTAAGAAAGGGGGATTAGCCCTATCAAATATTAAAATGTATTGTAGTCCGGGTACCTGAGGTCAGGAGTTCGTGACCTGCCTGGCCAATATGGTAAAACCCTGTCTCTACTAAATATACAAATATTAGCTGGGTGTGGTAGTGGGCACCTGTAATCCCAGCTACTTGGGAGGCTTAGGCAGGAGAATTGCTTGAACCTGGGAGGCGGAGGTTGCAGTGAGCCCAGCGGCGCCACTGCACTCCAGCCTGGGTGACAGAGTGAGACTCCATCTCAAAAAAAAAAAAAAAAAAAAAAAAAAAAAAAAAAAAAAAAACTATTGTAAAACTACAGAAGTTAAAATATATATGTCTCCATATCTTTTTTTATTTTTAATTTTTATGGCCACATAGTAGGTGTATATATTTATGGGGTACTTGAGATATTTTGATACAGACATACAATATGTAATCATCACATTAGGGTAAATAGAGTATCCATCACTTCAAGCACTCATTACCTCTTTGTGTTACAAACATTCCAACTGTACTCTCTCGTTATTCTAAAATGTATTACAAATTGTCACTGACTGCAGTCACCCTGTTGTGCTATCAAATACTAGATATTATTCATTTATATCTCTATATCCTAACAACCAGGAAGCTCTATGTAAGTGTCTAGAAATAGACCAAACTACATATGACAAATTTTTTATTTACATATCAATAAAAAAATCAGTCTATTCAAAAATGTTATTGAAACAACTGAATACCTCTTTAGAAAAAAATTAACAAGCACAAACACCATAAACAAAATCAGAAAATGATATACTGAGAAAAATCATTTACAAAGGACTATTCTTTTTTTTTTAATTTAAGTTCTAGGGTACATGTGCACAACGTGCATGTTTGTTACATATGTATACATGTGCCATGTTGGTGTGCTGCACACATTAACTCGCCATTTACATTAGGTATATCTCCTAATGCTATCCCTCCCCCATCCCCCTACCCCACAACAGGCCCAGTGTGTGATGTTCCCCACCCTGTGTCCAAGTGTACTCATTGTTCAATTCCCACCTATGAGTGAGAACATGCGGTGTTTGGTTTTCTGTCCTTGCGATAGTTTGCTGAGAATGATGGTTTCCAGCTTCATCCATGTCCCTACAAAGGACATGAACTCATCCTTTTTTATGGCTGCATAGTATTCCATGGTGTATATGTGCCACATTTTCTTAATCCAGTCTATCATGGATGGACATTTGGGTTGGTTCCAAGTCTTTGCTATTGTGAATAGTGCCGCAATAAACATACGTGTGCATGTGTCTTTATAGCAGCATGATTTATAATCCTTTGGGTATATATCCAGTAATGGGATGGCTGGGTCAAATGGTATTTCTAGTTCTAGATCCTTGAGGAATTACCACACTGTCTTCCACAATGGCTGAACTAGTTTACAGCCCCACAAACAGTGTAAAAGTGTTCCTATTTCTCCACATGCTCTCCAGCACCTGTTGTTCCCTGACTTTTTAATGGTCGCCATTTTAACTGGTGTGAGATGGTATCTCATTGTGGTTTTGATTTGCATTTCTCTGATGGCCAGTGATGATGAGCATTTTTTCATGTGTGTTGGCTGCATAAATGTCTTCTTTCGAGAAGTATCTGTTCATATCCTTCACCCACTTTTTGATGGGTTGTTTGATTTTTTCTTGTAAATTTGTTTAAGTTCTTTGTAGATTCTGGATATTAGCCCTTTGTCAGATGGGTACATTGCAAACGTTTTCTCCCATTCTGTATGTTGCCTGTTCACTCTGATGGTAGTTTCTTTTACTGTGCAGAAGCTCTTTAGTTTAATTAGATCCCATTTCTCAATTTTGGCTTTTGTTGCCGTTGCTTTTGGTGTTTTAGTCATGAAGTCCTTGCCCATGCCTATGTCCTGAATGGTATTGCCTAGGTTTTCTTCTAGGGTTTTTTTGGTTTTAGGTCTTACATTTAAGTCTTTAATCCGTCTTGAATTAATTTTTGTATAAGGTGTGAGGAAGGGATCCAGTTTCAGCTTTCTACATATGGCTAGCCAGTTTTCCCAGCACCATCTATTAAATAGAGAATCCTTTCCCCATTTCTTATTTTTGTCAGTTTTGACAAAGGACTATTCTTCTTAACATGTTAAAAATCTCTTGAATAAAATTAAAAAACAACCCAGTGGAAATAGATAGGGCAAATAATATAAATAGGTACTTCCCAAAAAGAAAGAAACATGATGTAAACCATTGAAAAAATGCACAGTCTCACTCACAATAAATGTATATTAAGACTACTGAGAGATGCTGATTTAAAAAAAAAAGCCTGCCAGATTTCACATTGACAAGGATCAAAAAGTTTAATCACACATTGTTGGCAACACTGTAGGGAAATAAGGTACCCTCATACATCTTTGGTGGACCCATGAATTGGTACAATGTTGATTAGGAGCAAATTGCCAGTATTTATCATGCAACTTGCATGTATCTCCTGACTCAGAAATTTCACTTCTAGGAATTCCTCCTACATTACACTTGTGCAATTGTGTGTACTTGCACTTGTGTGAATGATGTATGTACATGAATATGCTTTGTCATATTGTTTGTGAGAACCAAAGATTACAAACCACCAAATGCTGGCCAATATACATTCATTACCACAAAGGTCTGGTCAATTTAGAGAAAGAAATCCTATGTCCACGAAGGATATAATCTCTAAGAAAACAAAGTGCTGACAGCATCATAGAGTATGTTACCATTATTGTAAAATGGCAATAGTAATAATTATTATATAAATATATGCTTGTGTATGAATAAAATGCCCTGAAAGTATACTGATAGAGTTTGGATATTTGTCCCTGCGCAAATCACATGATGAAATGTAATTCCCAGTGTTGGAGGTGTTTGGGTCATGGGGGCAGACCCCTTATGTCTTGGTGCTGTCCTTGCAATAGTGAGTGAGTGCTCACAAGATCTGGTTGTTTAAGTGTGTGGTACCACACACTCCTCCTTGCTTCTGCTCCTACCACATGAAATACCTGCTACCCGTTTGCCTTCTGCGGTGACTGTAAGCTTCCTGAGGCCTCCCCAGAAGCAGATGCCAGCACTGTGCTTCCTGTACAGCCTGAAGAACCATGAACCAGTTAAACCTCTTTTCTTATAAATCACCCAGTCTCAGGTATTTTTTTCTTTCTTTTGAGATGGAGTCTCGCTCTGTCCCCCAGACTGGAGTGCAGTGACGTGATCTTGGTTCGGCTCACTGCAAGCTCCACCTCCCGGGCTCACGCCATTGTCCTGCCTCAGCCTGCCGAGTCGCTGGGACTACAGGCGCCCGCCACCATGCCCGGCTAATTTTTTGTATTTTTAATAGAGATGGGGTTTCACTGTGTTAGCCAGGATGGTCTCAATCTCCTGACCTCGTGATCTGCCCACCTCGGCCTCCCAAAGTGCTGGGATTACAGGTGTGAGCCGTTGCGCCCGGCCAGGTATTTCTTTATAGCAATGAAAGAGTGGCCTAACACGTATACATTAGAACCTGATTACAGTAGATGCCTCTTGGGAGGGGACTTAAATGGCCAGGGTTGGTGATAAAAAGTATTTTTTAATGTATCCCCTTTTTTATCTGTTAATTTTTTTATGTGTATATGTATTACCTATTCAAAAAGTTAATCAATTTTAAATTAACTTAGATCCCAATTCAAACTCCACATCTGCTACCTCCAGCTTTGTGACCTAGAGCAAACTGCAGGCCAGCTGCCTTCTCTGTGGAGCAGGGACTGTCAGAACTCCCCCATCCCAGGGTGTGATCAGAGCTACATGAGATAATCATGGGAAAGTACCTGGAAATTACATGTAATTGCTTAGTAAATGCCCTCCGCTTCTTTCCCCCCAGAATTAAAGTAAGCTGCATCTAACTATTACAACTTAATAAGGTGCATTATTGTGCTTTGCTGTGTTTTTAATTTTCTTGTCATACCTGAATGGTTTAAACATCTGGCTTCCTTAAGGCATAATTAAGTAAAAGAGAGAGCAGCGTACATCACCAGTCAGGTGTACTTCTTTCCCTGTTGTAAAAGTGATGCTTTTTATTCAGAGCCAAGTCTAGATATTCACCAGTCCTTGGCACGACTAGAAAAAGATTTGAAGGACTAAAGCTGCTAGAGCATAATTATGTATTGGCTGTGGACTTGAGATGCCTGGGTTCTGTCCCTCCTGACTGTGACTTAGCAGCCGTTTGTCACTGGAGATGTTTTATGACTTCTGCAGGCTTCCACAGTATCACTTGTGAAATGGGAATAACTATTTAATAGCTCACAGAGGTGCTGTATTAGGTTCTCCAGAGAAACAGAATAGGATTTACGTTATATATAACAATAGGATATAGCCTAGATATATAGATATATATATATAAGGATTTATTGTGGGAATTTGTTCACGTGTTTGTAGAGGCTGAGAAGTGCCACATATGCCATCTCCAAGCTAGAGAAGCAGGAAAGCCAGTGGTAAAATTCAGCATGAGTCCACAGGCCCAAGAACCAGCAGCTCTGATGTCCCAGGGCAGGAGAAAAGCTGGATGTCCCAGGTCAAGGGAAGGAGGGAATTTACCCCTCCTCCTTCTTTTTGTTCTATCTGAACCCTCAATGGATTGGAAGATGCTTGCCCACACCAGTGAGGGTAATCTTTACTCAATCTACTGATTCAAATGCTGTTCTCTTTCAGAAACACACTCACAGTCATACCCAGAAATAATGTTTTACCAGCTATCTGGGCACCCCATAACCCAGTCAAGTTGACACATAAAATTAACCATCACAGACACTGACTAGAATGCATAAAGTCCATCTAGAAAAGCACCCAGTACATAATAAGCACTCAACAAATATTTTTGGAAAAGTATCAAACACTCTGTGCAAGGAGCAAGAAATGGTTCCTACTTTCACGGTCTACACAAATTAATAGGGAGATGAAACAATGGCCCAAATCACTAGATCACCAAGCCATTTAGGAGAAGAAACTGAAGTGAAGGGGGTAGGCATGACTCATAAAGAGTAATTTCCTTTCCCTCTCTAAGGCCCCACCAGTGAACTGGTGGCCACGTTGACTAACTGGAGACAGGATACCAAGGAGGACAGACATCATTGTGAGGTCCCATTCTACGTACCCCAAACCAACAGAGTCCTCTGGAAGGCCTGAGAGCTGTTAGGAACAAGACGAAATGGGTGTGAGATTGAAGAAGTCACAAAATGCAGACATTTTAAGCTATTCTCCCAAAATACATTAAAAATCTTACTGAGAAAAATGTGAAATATATACAATACTCACTTGCATATACTATTTCTTATTTTATTTTATTTATTTATTTTTTGAGACAGAGTTTCACTGTTGTTGCCCAGGCTAGAGTGCAATGGCACGATCTTGGCTCACTGCAACCTCTGCCACCCTAGTTCAAGCGATTCTCCTGCTTCATCCTCCCAAATTGCTGGGATTACAGGTGCCCACCACCACACCTGGCTAATTTTTTATATTTTTTAGTAGAGATGGCGTTTCACCATGTTGGTCAGGCTGGTCTCAAACTCTTGACCTCAGGTGATCCACCCACCTCAGCCTCCCAAAGTGCTGGGATTACAGGCGTGAGCCACTGTGCCCAACCAACACTATTTGTTATTTTAGATGTTGGGAAGTTTTCATGAAAATTCTCTTGTCCATTCTCATTTACATGCACACACATACATATGCACATGCATGAACACATGCTTCACGGCGCTTCTTATTAATCCTTATTGGGTAAAATCTTATTGAGGGACAATAAACCAGATAAAATCTCCAACCACTCCCTGGTGCCAAGTCTCTTGGGCCCCTCACACTCCAGGTGGGCAAGGCAGCATGCCAGTGGACACAGCATCACCTGCTCAGAGGGAGTGGTTGTGGAAAGCACAGAGGCAGGCGGCCTGGTGGCCAAGGTCCACACCACATCCTCCCAGGTGGGCACTGTCCTGAGTAGGCTTAAACTGGCATTGTCTGTCCAGTAAGTCCTTTTCTAAGGAAAGCAGGTATCAACTAATTAGCAACATGCAAGTGTTTTCATTTTAGGAAAAGAGAAGAACTCTGGAATTATGGGGCCTGGTAAAGGTTCATTTAAGCGTCAAGATCAAGTTGGCTAAACCCATAGTGTGGAAGCACTCTTTGCGTAGGGTGAGCCAGGTGGAGCAGCTGTGTGACAGATCTTGGAGGCAGTCTAAGGGCAATGAGCACCTGGAGAACAAAGAGGGAGGGGCTGCCCACCTGAGGAGGAAGGGACATGTGCAACTGTCTCCTAGATGGGGCCCTGAGAACTGCCGGGAGACATCACAGGGCAGCCCCTCTCCCCACCTCTGGCTACACAGTCTCCTGCCCTTCTCTACTCAGTGAATTCTGAGGTCAAAGGCTACTGTGCCAAACTTTCAAGTAGAGTGAAGCCTCCTCCGTGGTGAACTATAAACTTGGATGGCATCATGTCCATTTTTGTGTTCTTCACAGCACCCAACAGCAGGTTCACAGTCAACGTTAGTGAGGGACCGAGATTGTAGAAGCAAATATTTCTCCAGCATCAGGGGTGTTGCCTCACTAGGATCTACCATTGGGATCCCAACCCAGGATGATGGTTTGAAACCTTCCGGTCCAGTTCTCCCCCATTTGTCAGTCTTTGTCCTTGACAATTAATGCTGTAAATGCATGTACTAAATGCCCACTGAGTGTGTGTAACACACAAGCCGGTGATATCAGAGTGGCACCGGACAGGGAGCAACACTTCTGCAAAGGAGCAGGTATTCCAAGTCCTTCTCATCTTTCCTGAGCATCTGTCATTTGGGTGGACCTCACTGCACCCTTCAGCTATTAGCAGTGACTGTAAATGGAGAAGAAGTTCTCGAGAACCAGCAGCACCCTGAACACTCATTAACTGAGAAAAATTGGAGACTCAAGGAGGCCCAATACCCTCTTACTGAATACCCACCTTCCTTGTGCCAGGGAGGTCATAGGGAGGTTGAAAAATCAAGGGTTTTGCCATGTGTCTGAGTTTGATTCCTCCAAAAGGGCATTAACTTTTCATATTACCTCTGCAGAGTGGGATTTAAAATCTGTGTTAGTGACACGATATTTCATTTCAGATCCACAGGGCCCACATTTAAAATTAATATTGCATGCTTGTCAGAATGAATTCCAAACCCTCTCACAGCAGGCCCCTTGTGGGACCTAGAGAAGGAGTGGCCAATTCATTATCGTAACACTGGGATGAGGGTTCCATCCCAGCTTTTGACTGACACCTGCAGAGATTTTTTTTTTCTGAGACATTTTAAGTTTTTGGTGTGCCCCATCTTCCCAGACAAGCTGCACGTTTCTGTCACTCTGTGCTGTTTCCAAAGCCCAGTGGTCTGCAGGGTACCTTTGAGGGGCCTCCTCTGATCCAGTTAATCAGTTCCTCATTGACAACATAGACAGAGCATCTGGCCCAGGCCAGAGAGGGCTTTCGGCCGAGTCCCTCTGGAGGATCAGTCTGTAGAGGGATGTGACTAAGGCAGCAGATTCCGCCAGGATTCTGTTAGACACAGAGGACACAAGGTCACCTGGCCAAAAGTGGAGGTCAGGAAGACTCAAGATCTGGGTCCACCTGTTTCATTTTCTCTTAGCATCTGCCCTGGCCTGCTGTCGTAAATCATCATCACCGAGCTTAAAACCACCCTGTCGTTCAAAAAAAAAAAAAAAAAATGAGCTATTTGGTTTTTGAACACTTTCCTTACAGTGCGTAGCAGTTTGTTAGAGAGGTGGGCAGGCATTAGGATTTTGTTTATAACCTTGGAATAAACTAAGCCAACAGACTGTATTCTTGCAGGGTTAATGTCCCCTGCTTTACAGTATGGGAATGCCCAACGAAGTTTTTATTATAGAGGGTGGAATATGGTGCAGTATTCAGTGGAGACAATTGCCCCGGGAGTGCAGCGCAGAAAGCCACAGCTGCATCTCCACTTGGTGTCGGCCGGGAGCTGCCTCACCTGGGGCTCCAGGGTCCCTTTGAGACCGCAGTTCCATAGCCCGTGGGTACTGTCCTTGTGTCATCATCCTCTCTCTCTCTCTCTCCATTCCAGTCATTCACTCTCTCCCCCTCTTTTTCTCTGACTGCCTCCAGGCACTTTCTTTAGCACAGAGCTCTGGTGATACCTCCCACTGGCCTTGGGCACCCTTCTTCAAGGCCACTCACCCTGCATGGAGGAGAGGAAGGGAAGGAGTGGCCAATTCATTTTCGTAACAAACACCCAATTTTGTTTTTCTCCGTGGACTATCCAGATGCATGCTTCTTTTACAGTTCATGTCTGCGATACTTTGTCCCTTAGAGAAAAAAGCTGTATACAAATGTGAAATTATTCCAATTATCTAATCTCTGTTGCATTCCTCAGCCCTGCAAAGAGTTAAATGATGTGTAAAATCACCTGTTAGCCCGCATTAGACAGGGCTGTATTTACACACCCAGAGGTGGCCTGTGAATTATTTAACCGAAGGGACTCTTGGCTCAGCATCTGGCTAGACACTGTTGAGCCCAAGTTCCTTAGGAGGTGCAGCCTGTGGCCCCAGAGCTTCCTCTTGGCTGGGGAAACCGTCTGACAGACACGGTGGGCTGCTGCCAGAACCAGGTCTCCTTGAGAACAACTTGAACTAAGCTCCTCCCAGCTCCAGATGGTTCACAAACTAGAGAGGAGTTTTGCAGAGTCCTGAACGCTTTGCCAAAAAAGAGCGTTGGCCATCTTCCAGGCCAGGCGGTAGGTTTGCCTGCATGCTGTGAATGCCAGGATTATTGTTGGGGTTTTAGAGAGTCCATTTCATAACACCCCCAGTTCCCATCTGAATTTGGAACCAATGAGAGAAAAAGGGAAAGCAGTGAGATGGATGGAGATCAAAACATCACTTTTGTCACCAACTGACCTCTCAGAGAACAGGGGGAGAGTGACACTGGATGTCCCAACTAGGAACCCCAGAGTAGAGACACACTTCCATGACCAGTGCTGGAAACCCATCTGCCTCATGCCAGGAGGCAGGATCTTGGGTCCCTGTACCCTGGTGCAGGGAACGGAAAGGAGCCATACCTTCTGCAAGCACCCAGCTCCTCACAGGAAGCCAGGGCCAATTCTTCCACCTCTCCTTGTCTCATCTCACTTTTCAGGTGAGCTTCCTTTCTCTCCTACCAAGGAGAGGGTGGGGGCTGTGGCAAGAGATGGAGGCATCTGGGGAAAAGCCTTCCTCGGGGAAAACAGCATTCCATATATCTCCCAGGGAGATGGGACCTGCATATATTTGGAGGAAGAAGTCATAGAGATTGCAAGAGCTGGAGAGGATTTTAGAAGCCACTGGAATCCTCTCATTTTACTGAAGGAAACAGAGGCACACGGGTGCAGCGAAACCCTCATGGTTATATAGCTAGTCAGGGGCAGGGCTGAATTTGTGTGGCAGTCTGCAGTTTAAAGCCGGTCCCTCATGGTATGGAGAACACAGCAGTGGGCATTTCACACGCATAATCTCACCACAGGGGGCCAGGCTGCCTCTTGGTCTATGGGACTCCACCCCACTGTGGGTTTCAGGGCAGGTTCCCACTCCTACCTCATCTATCCCTTCTTGGGAATGGGAGATGCTTGGAGGATGCACAGTAATTGAAATGCTATTCCTGGCAAATGATCATTTCCGGGGGAAAATGTGAATATCATGATATCAAGTCAAATAAAGCTGTTAGGTTGAGGCTTTGTCCTTGAGCTTTTTAGACTCTGAACAGGCAGTTGGGAAGGCAGTCAGCTCCTGCCTGAGTCACTGGGCAGGACAGCCAGCCCAGGGAAAGATGAGGGAAGTGGGGGACCTGCGTTGGTATCTCACTGGGAGGATGCTGTGGCCTCCCCATTCGATGGAGATCCTTGTCAGGCCTGCTTTTGCAAATGCTCAGAACTCCAGGCAGCTCTCTGGCCCTCTTCTTTCTGTCCTCTCCATGCAGCTCCCACTGCTGTATTTACTCGGTTGGCACTTTCCGCTGTCAGAATCACATTTCTCCCAGCCACTCACTGTGTTGCAGAATCTGTGTATTGTCTTTTCTTCAGCTGGTGTTTTGGGCTTAAGCCCTGAAATGCTTTGTTCTGGGCCCCACTACAGCACCCATACTGTGTGCTAGAGAAAACAGGAAAGGGCCCTCACCATCACACCCATGACCTTGGGGAGGCCAGCACCTTTGTTGTCATACTTCCCAAAACCCTCCATCCCCTCCCTGCCAGAGGAGCTAGCACAATCTAGATGCCCACTGGCTGAGGTTTATTTCCAGCACTGCAAGGTAACAGGTACACACATACGCACACCAGATTTCCATTCCCATTAAATCTCTGCATCCCCAAATGAGCTACCTGTTGGCAAAAGCTTTTTATCTGTCAGAAGTTCTCAAGTGGAAGTTGTCTCTCTCTCTTTGCTGCACGTGTGTTACCACAAATGCGGATTGTGCCGGCCTTTCTCCATCTCACCCACAACCTCCCCTTAAACCTCCATCTCCAACACCCCCGAGTCTTCAATGCCTCAGGAGAATTCTGAAGCCAGCATATAATTGCTGTCCAGAAAGAGGCCCCGTGGGAACGGAAAGGATTTTGTGTGTGCTCACCCCTACATTTAATGGGGCCATCCTTCCCCATAAGGCTCAGTGCTGCAAAGCCAGGAGCCCACCCCCAAGGCTCATGCCAAACCCCAATTATCTGGAGGGCAACTGGCCCTGGGAGCTGGGCCAAGCACAGCCCCTCCTAGCTGCGGAAAGAGCCTTCCTATATGTCTCGTTTGACGCCTACAAAAACCTGGGGAAGCTGGCAGGGCAGGGGGTGGGGAGGTTAAGCCCATAGGGTGGACAAGCCACAGGGCTCTGCTCCCTCCCTTCCCCCTCATTTCTTCACCCCTCCCCCATGAAACCATCAATCACCTTGATGGCAGGAGGGAGGGGTGCTTGGCTGAATTGACTTGAAAACACTCAGAAACCCAAATTGCACCCACAGAGGCACTCAGAATTCAGGGAGATGAGGGATGTCCGCCTGAAACACTTTTTTGCAGTAATGTGTTCCGTGATGGAAGTCATCTAATTCATTCATGAGGGGACTGAGACCTCAGAGGAAAGTGGTGTCCCTGAAACTAGCAAGGGTCAGAACTACTTGCAGAGAAGCCACTAGGAAGGCTTTCCAGATGAGACTCTCCCCCTACTCCCACTAATATTAGAGGGACTCCCCTCCCTCCAGCATCTCCCCACAGGGTCTGGCTGCCTCAGGCTTCCCTTGGCTCTCAGAGATGCCCTTCCACTCAACTGCTACCCACATGCTTCTACCTGCTGCACACACCCTTTCTGTCTGCAGCCTCTGATATGGTTTGGCTGTGTCCACACCCAAATCTCATCTTGAATTGTACCTCCTATAATTCCCTTGTGTCGTGAAAGGGACCCAGTGGGAGGTAATTGAATCATGGGGGGGCAGGTCTTTCCTGTACTGTTCTCATGATAGTGAATAAGTCTTAGGAGGTCTTCTGCACAAGCTCTCTCTTGCCTGCCACCATGTGACTTTGCTCCTCGTTCGCCTTCCTCCATGATTGTGAGGCTTCCCCAGCCATATGGAACTGTGAGTCAATTAAACCTCTTTCTTTTGTAAATTATCCAGTCTCAGGTAGGTCTTTCTTAGCAGCGTGAGAACAGACTAATACAGCCCCTCCCCTAGGCTTTCCCTCCTTAGAGTTCATGTTGCAGACCACTTTTCCTTCCTTCTCCGCTACTGACTGCCCCCATCCCTGTTTGTCCAGGGTTCTCCTGTTTTCTGGGTTCCCTGATGAGAGTTAGTTCCTTTTAGGGACTAATTCGTCCTAGGGAGGACTAGATTAATAGACTACCAAGTCCCCTTTCCAAACTGACTTGCATTTTAAGATGGAAAAGTGACTCCCAGGGACAGGGCATTGGCTCAACAGGTGCTTCTACAGCTTGGCCGTGACAGCCTGTCTCTACATAGAAAGGGCCAGGGGCTGCAGTCTTTGCTTGGAGCTGTGTTTGTAGAACAAGCACACTGTTTTTAACGTGGTTTATGGTTTTGTTTAAATCAGGAGTGTCGAATCTTTTGTATTCCCTGGGCCACAATGGAAGAAGAAGAATTGTCTTGGGCCACACATAAAATATACTAACACTAATGACAGCTGATGAGCTTAATGTTTTAAGAATGTTTACAAACTTGTATTGGGCCACATGTGGCCTGTGGGCCACTGGCTGGACAAGCTCGGTTTAAATTGATAAGATATTCGGGAAGAAGATCTAATCACTCTCCTGCCAGCCTCTACCCTGCTGCTAAAATGCTTTCACAGGATCTAGGTCACTGGCTTTGATAATCACCACAGCTTGTGGATGTCCTCCTAAGTCTAGTGCCGGAAGGGAACTCGGTATTCCTCAGTGTGAACTGGAAGCAGATGAAGGAACTCCACCTCTCACTCAGGTCATCATGTTTCTGTTAATGCATCCTGAGATCAAATTCACCTTTTTCTTTTGCTGCCATATTATATTACAATTTTTCAGTTGACTTAATTGCAAAGTATCTTCTATTTGGGCTACTGAGTCACTTATCTCTCAAATTGTGTGTTGTTCTAACTATATATCTATGCCATAAGTATAAGGGTTTACATTTATTCCTTACTTTATGTCATCTTAAAACAAATGAAAGACTACTCTAATCATGCCACTTCTCACTCCTGATTCTAGAAAACAGTGTCTTTCTTGACCCTCCTAGTTTTAAATCTGGACTATGAATCTGGCATTCATTCTTATCCCCTAACATTAGACAGAGTATTGGCTTTCAGAAAGCTAAGCTTTGAAGTACTATATGTTGTGTGGCTTACTGGAGATCAGACAATATGCAAGAAGTCAAATTAGTTAGTTTGGCTCATGGAAAGCTGTCTAATTTGGAAATAATTAGGTGTCATCTCCTGAGAGAGAGAGAGAGAGAGAGAGCGCGCATAGGGAGAGGCAGTGGGGAAGAGGAAGAGAGAGAGGACAGAAAGGGAAGATGAGAGAAAATAGTTTTCATTACATGTTAAGCAGAAAGAGTTGGAAAAAAATAATTTCTATGATCTGCAAAGTCATTTCAGGAGTACATTAGCTTGCTAGGGCTGCCATAGTTAAGTATCACAAAGTGGGTGGGCTAAGTAACAGACAATTATTAACTACAGTTCTGGAGACCAGAAGTCTACGATCAAGACAGGGTTGGTTCCTTCTCGGGGCTGCCAGGAAAGGATCTGTTCCCAGCCTCTCTCTCTGGCCTGTAGATGACTTTGCCCCCTGTGTTTCTTCACAGTATCTTCCCTCTGTGTGTGCCTGTCTGTGTCTAAATTTCCCCTTTTTATAAGGACATCAGTCATTTTGGATTAAGATCCACACTAACAACCTCATTTTAACTCGATTACCTCTGTAAAGGCCCTATTTCCAAATGAGATCACATTCTGAGGTACTGAAAGTTAGGACTTCAATGTCTCGATTTGGAGTGGGGCACAATTCAGTCCATAACAAGGGGATTCCCAAAGAGTTGTCATAGGAATATCACCCATCAGGCAAAGCTCCTGGAAGCAGATGGAGCCACCATTAGGAAAGTTTCCCATGAGACTGTGGTGCTTCTGATGTGGCTCAGCTCTGGAACTGACTCCCACCCCCATCACCCATTTCAACCTCTAACCCCCACCACCTAACCAACACCCCCTCCCCTGTAAAAGCCTTTCTTCTTAAGTCAGGGGTAAACTTTCCACATTATTATGGTCCGTGTTTCCAATGCAGTGGTTTCTCAGATCTGCATCGCTCCTCTCTACCTCCTGGTTCCCTGCAACTCCTTAACCCACAAGCAGAGGAAGGAGAAGAGAAGGACCCTATTGTTTAGAGCAGAGGTGCTGGGTTCTCCCTCTACTTACAACCTTGCCCTCTCTCATTTCTCCTGATGACCAGGTAGGGTAGACAGCAACATCCCCATCCAAACATGAGCAGTGAGGTGACCTGGCCGGTTCGATGAGTGGTAGGCAGCACAGCCACAGGCCATCTCCCTCCTAAATGGGGCTGGGCCCAGGGGTTTTCCTAGGCCCTGCCTGACTATGCTGCAGGCTCTGCCTTACACTTGCTCATCCTCCTGTTGCAGAAGAGCTACAGGGAGACAAGCTACAAAAACCTTTTAATCTGTATGATTAACAGAAGCAATTGGCAAATGACCCTGCTGCTCTCCCAAGGGGAATAAGGGGTTTATTTTCAGATGCTGGTATTTATCCCACTGAATTTCATTGTGCAGCCTACAGTCCATCAAATGCTTCCCAGAGTCACCCAGGGTTTCTTCTTAGATTAAAATCAGAATTAAATCAGATAGATACATGCTTTATCAAATCTCATTTTCTTGGGGATGAAAAATAAGTTTCTCTTTCAGTCTGTGATTTCAGGAACAGGAAGCAAAGAATTTGGAAGTTTAAAAACACCTTTGCCTGAGCCTGCATAGCTTATTTTTTCTCCAGGCAGATATGGGCCTCCCCTTGACAAGGTGCTACCTGTAGGCAGGAAAGTCCTGCTGCTTGTCCTGCCATGTAATGGAACTTGGGCCATAAGGTGGATAAAGATAAGGCTGCTCTGAGAAGCTGTATTAGTTTTCACAATGCTGATAAAGACATACCCAAGACTGGGTAATTTATAAAGAAAAAGAGGTTTAACAGACTCACGGTTCCACGTGGTTGGGGAGGCCTCACAATCATGGCAGAAGGCGAAAGGCACATCTTACATGGTGGCAGGCAAGAGAAAATGAGAGCCAAGAGAGTGAGAGCCAAGCAAAAGAGGAAACCCCTTTAAAATAATCAGATCTCAGGAGACTTATTCACTACCATGAGAACAGTAGGGGGGAAACCCATGATTCAATTATCTCTCCACTAGGTCCTCCCGTAACATGTGGGAATTAAGGGAGATACACTTCAAGATAAGATTTGGGTGGGGACACAGCCAAACCATATCAGAAGCACAGAATTAGTGCAGAGTTGGTTAATGAAATAATCATTTTCTACATAGGTAGGGGAGTTAAATGATCATATTTTGCCTTTTAAGAGTATCATATAGGAACTCTTACAAACCTATACAAACTGGGGCTTGTTATGTGAGAAGTGACGTTGGTGATACCTGCTTGGAAAGCATAGGTCTCCAATCCCAGCTGCTGTCCTCTGGGAGCTGCACAAAAGAAGGTCTATCACATGCTTCTGAAGGGAGCTGTAGAAGCTTCTGTGGTTATTCATTTGCTACAGATAGAAGAAGAAATTAAAACCAATTGTGAAGGAAAGGGAAATGAACATTATTGAGGAGTGAGTAACTGTGTGGCAGGCACTGCCCTGAGAGATTTTGCCTGCATGCTCACCTAAATTTTAGAAATAGGACTAGCTTTAAAAAAATAA